>NC_000013.11:90495403-90798433 GCF_000001405.40 Homo sapiens
AATACACCAATCAGCACTCTGTATCTAGCTCAAGGTTTGTAAACACACCAGTCAGCACCCTATGTCTAGCTCAGGGTTTGTGAATGCACCAATTGACACTCTGTGTCTGGCTACTCTGGTGGGGCCTTGGAGAACCTTTGTGTGGACACTCTGTATCAAGTTAATCTGATGGGGAAGTGGAGAGCCTTTGTGTCTAGCTCAGAGATTGTAAACGCACCAATCAGCGCCCTGTCAAAACAGACCACTCGGCTCTACCAATCAGCAGGATGTGAGTGGGGCCAGATAAGAGAATAAAAGCAGGCTGCCCAAGCCAGCAGTGGCAACCGGCTCGGGTCCCAGTCCACACTGTGGAAGGTTTGTTCTTTCACTCTTTGCAATAAATCTTGCTGCTGCTCACTCTTTGGGTCCACACTGTTTTTATGAGCTGTAACACTCACCGCGAAAGTCTGCAGCTTCACTCCTGAGCCAGCGAGACCACGAGCCCACCAGGAGGAACGAACAACTCCAGACCCGCTGCCTTAAGAGCTGTTAACAGTCACCGCGAAGGTCTGCAGCTTCACTCCTGAGCCAGCGAGACCACGAGCCCACCTGGAGGAACGAACAACTCCAGACCCGCTGCCTTAAGAGCTGTAGCAGTCACCACGAAAGTCTGCAGCTTCACTCCTGAGCCAGCGAGACCGCGAACCCACCAGAAGGAAGAAATTCCGAACATATCCGAACATCAGAAGGAACAAACTCCAGACGCGCCACCTTAAGAGCTGTAACACTCACCGCGAGGGTCCGCGGCTTCATTCTTGATGTCAGCAAGACCAAGAACCCACCAATTCTGGACACAAAACCTCAAGTAGTCCCTCCACCGAAAGCACATTATAAGGATCATTTTGCCTCAAAGCCCTCCTACAGGCAAGAGGAGCTTACTGTGACTTCCAAGAAGAAAATGATGTTGTGGCATGAAGCACTTCTCTGATCATATCACTGCTGTACTAAAGGTACGTTCTACATGTACTTTTTGGGAAGAAATTGATGGTTATTTCACTAGTGTTTATTTTTGATACAAAGGACCAAGTAAATCTGTGAAGATTAAGGTCTATTTTCTTATAAAGAAAAGAATATCAACTATTCAGACTGATGCAAAGTTACTTTCTTAGCATAAATTCTAGGTTTATAGTTAATACCTTGCCTGGAATACTTGGGCCAAAGTCCAGCCATCTTTGTCGGGCTTCTTATTCTGTAAAACTAGTTTTCTGCTCCATGTCATTCCACCATATTTTGCTGGTCATTGTGAGAATGAAATTAAAGTAAGCATGAAAAGCATTTTACACAGCACGTAATACTTACTAAATGTTCAATAAATAATTAGAATTTAAATTTTTGTGCAGCTCACTTTTATAAATAAAATCCTAACATTTTTTACTAGTAATTAAGCAAACGTCTTCACATATCAGGCCTCTGTTAATATCTCAGCTTTTACTCTCATGGCGTGAAGTAACTTAAGTACTTACATTGTTATACCATCATTTTGCTATTTTTGGAATCACCTTTCTGAACTGTATATTGATAATTGCAATAAAAAACTAGACAACACAGCACAAGGGATCTCAGACCATAAATTTAAAAGAAAAAATTGTATATAATTTAACCCAACAGCTGAACATAAATTATCCTAGAACAATAAGGGCAAAAAAAAAAATGGTTAAAGAATAGAAGTAAAATTGTGGGCTAATCTCCATAACTTTACTAGACAACAAACAGTGCTTTCATAATCTTAATCAAAGATTTTTCTTCTCAACTTATTTTGGATGCTGTTGCTTAAATATGTATGATTTACTTAGGCTAGAAGAAGGAAATATATCAATTTGGTGCCTACTAAAGCAATATTTACTTGAATTAGATTTAGCAAAGTATTTCAATGTTATAAGATGGGTAAAATGTTCAGACATAGATTCTTTCTGGGGGAAAATGTATTTATAATTATTGCTTTTAGAAATTATTAAAATATAGTTAGTTGTGAAGCAGTGTTAGTAAAGCTGGACTGTGCTTCAGATCTGATGCATATCTGAAAGACAACGTTTAAGAGCTTTATTTTCTACATTCTTCCAATTGAAATAAAGCATTTTTTCTAATGTATTAAAACACTATAAAAATAATGGTAATATTCTTTGAAAAAATTTAGCTCTGTATTTTAATACAACAGACTTGAATTATGAGAATTCATGGAGAAGGGATTTATTACGAGCTGAAATGACTATAAAATACTATCATTACTGGGTTAATTCTGACTAGAATTCTCTCTGAATGTTTATGGCAGTCCTATTTTTGATCAATGAGTTAGAGACTTGAACCAAATTATCTGTCTTCTGCTTCTCTTTCTTCTTCTCTCTTTGTCTTGGCTTTCTCTGTCTTGCAAATGGAAAACATCATTATGTGTACACACAATATAGTTTGAAGCTTCAAAGTTTTTATGTGATCAGAAAATCATGCCCATTTCTAGTCATATATGTGTGTAATCAATATTCATAAGAATGTCTACTGCCACACATTTTGTAGTGTGTTATATATAATATTGTCCTTATTGATATAACAGAAATGCCGATTATTCATTAAAGGAAATGTATGACACAGAGAAATTTTAGACTTACATCTCTTATGTTTTTTACAAGTGAAATGTTTTTCTGACCTTGTAATGAAAAATAATAGGTTACTGAAATATAAATGATATTCAAATTAATTTTATAAAATAAGCAATTATACAACTTCTAATATTATTCTATGATTATTTATCTTACAACACACAATTGTGCCCTAGGTATGGAATGTATTCGGTGTTGAGGAGTTTGGACAGTACAGCAGCAGCTGCTCTAGGTAAGATAATCAGGGCAGTCCATTCTGAGAAGATTGCATAATATACACACACAGAAATATATAAATAATTTAAAGGCACAGTCTTATTTTTGTATGACATGCTTGTTTGTCACAGTAGGAATAATTGTCTTCATCATTTCTTGGTCATTTTCTTGCTTAGTAATGTTGATCCTGAAGATCAAGTATATTTTCAAAAATGCTTAAGCATGGAGTAAGAGAACAATGTAAATTGTTCTCTCTCTCCCTGTCTTTCTCTCTTTTCTCTCTCTCTCTCCCTCTCTCTCACACACACACACTCTCACTCTATCTCCACACACACACACACACACACACACATCAACATTCTGAATGCCACATAAAAAATTTCTGAGACCTTTCATTTCTATGACTTGATTTATGGACAATAAACTTCAGTCATGTAATAAAATGTAACTTAGTTTATGCATGGAAAATATAACTTAGAAAATCACCATCTGTATACTAAAAATAAATTGATGGACACAGATAACAGGGGATACAGTACAATACAGTTACAGAAACACAGTAATCTTGTAAGTGGTAAGCAAATTGGACTTCGAGTATAGATAACACATATTTGTTATTGTTTTTCAAGTTATTTGTAATTTTATTTTCTCCAAATCTCTATTCTCTGATTAGTCTATTTCCAGATGGCATAATTATGTTTCCAAATTTCTAAGATTCTGCCCTTGTGGTTTAACTTGTTTTATTTATACCAGAGCAGCTGACTTCAACAGCTGTTTTTTTCCTGGAATAGATTTTAGTCAATAGTTTGCCATTTCCATCAATTCAGATCATCTGATTTACTATAGTAGAATATTTCTATGAGTATTTTAGGAGTTTTCCTTGTACTTGAAATGAAAATTTAACATTAGATTTTCAAGTTGTTTGTCCAGTATCTCCCTGAAACTTTTTAATGGACCAAAATAATACATACTCATTTGGCATTGATATTACCAATTGAATAATATGGATTACTAATTGCTCTTATGATAGGTAATCATCCATATCTTTGCCACTTTTTATTAAATTCAGATGTCTTATGTTTCTTACATGTCAATGATAAGTTGTGTTGGAATATTTTCCCATTTATGCTATTTACAGTTTTTAATTTAAAATTTAAATTAAATTGCTTTAAATATCAAAAGATTCAATACACTTAAAATTTATTTATAAATACACATTTAAAAAGGAAGTTAAGTTAAAATAATAAAATACAGATTCTCCTCAACTTATGATGGGGTTATGACCTGATAAACCCATTCTAAGTCAAAAATATAAGCTGAAAATGCATTTAACACCTTGATAAAACTATCATAAAGTCAGAAAAATTATAAAGTCAGAAACCTGCAAGCCAAACAATCACAAGTCAAGAATTCTCTGCAATACAAATTTCACATATTTTTTACATAATTTTTAAAATTGTTTTTTAAATATTTTGATAATGTTCAACCATAGAGTGAAGCAAGGTTAATTAATGAGTGCAGATACTGAATTCAGATGGAAGCTTAATGGTATTCAGAAGGAAATTTATGCTTTACTTGCTTTTATAAAACAAAATGAATAATTTCATATTTTACAAAAACAATGTTCAAGAAATGCATGATCCAACAAAAATAATGTGTAAAAAAATTCATGAAGAAAAATATAAAATTTATTGAAAGATCTTTGAAAGGCCTAAGTCAAGGAATAGGTTCACCATGTTTCTCTTTAGGACGATACACTGTGAAAAGGTGCATGCCAATTAAACCTACATCAACCTATAAAGGCAATAATGCATTCTCTTTTTTTCTTTTTTTTTGAGATGGAGTCTTGCTCTGTCTCCAGGCTGGAGTAGGGTGGCACGAGCTTGGCTCACTGCAACCTCCGCCTCCCAGATTCAAGGGATTCTCCTGCCTCAGCCTCCCGAGTAGCTGGGACTATAGGTGCGCACCGCCACACCCAGCTAATTTTCGTATTTTTAGTAGAGATGGGGTTTCACCATGTTGGCCAGGAGGGTCTTGATTTCCTGACCTCGTGATCCATCTGCCTCAGCCTTCCAAAGTGCTGGGATTACAGGTGTGAGCCACCGCTCCCGGCCGAGGCAATGCGTTTTCAATAAAAATGCCCCTGTTTTATTTTTAACCCATTTGGTATGAGTAAACAATTAATATTAGATTGTATATTAAAATGTAGAGCCAAGAACAAAGGTGTCAATTTTGAAGCAGAAAGAAATGAAAATTCCACATAATAAATGTCGTGGCTTACTATAAAATTATATATTGTAACACTGGTGAAAACTGTCCAATAACACAAATGCAGAGACTGAGGCCTGTATTTTCTTGTTGGCTTTAGTTATCAGTCTAGAGACACTCTTAGCTTCTAGAGGACTTTCTCTAGCCCTTGAGCATAGCCCCCACATCTCAGAACCAGAAACTGGCAT
The DNA here is from genome assembly GCF_000001405.40 of Homo sapiens. Classification (NCBI taxonomy): domain Eukaryota; kingdom Metazoa; phylum Chordata; class Mammalia; order Primates; family Hominidae; genus Homo; species Homo sapiens. The sequence continues at coordinate 90,500,706 of NC_000013.11, forward strand.
CATGTGGTTCTCATATCACACCTCTTGGGGCTGCTTCCACAGTCACATATCTCTCTGACCACAGCCAGGAAAGTTATTCCACTTTAAAGGACCCATGTGATTAGACTGGGCTCACACAGATACTCCAAAATAATCTCCCACTCTCAAGGTTCATAACCTTAATCACATTTGCCAAGCCTTCTCTCCTCTTTTTGGCGTAAGATAACATATTCGCAGGTTTTGAGGATTAAGACCTGGATTTCCTTAGGGCTCATATTTTTCATTCAATCTCATAAACTAACGATGAGATAGGCAAGTTGATAGACTGGATATGTGCAGATCAGATATAGTATATATAAGAGCAATTTTAGCTTACTGTCTGATACTTTTCAAGACTAGAAAGATATTTATTGAAAAATATTCTGTTGTGCTCATATATGTTGTCTTGATATTGAGTCCAGTTATTTTTAGTACTTGCTGCAGGGATAAAACAGTAGATACATTGACCTTGACTAGTTTCCATCTATCTAGAGTGTCGAATCTGTTATATCTGAAGCAGAAACATGTTTTCATTGACATTTTTACACATAATTTGCATCTAGAAAAAATGTAGGGACAGAGCTGCTCTGTCGTCAGATCTGCTAAAGGAAAACGTCACCCTCCCCAGTCAAAACCAACTATTCATGCATCAACTGCTTTATTTGACACAAGGAAGAAATTTTAGTGAGAGCAGGAAACATTCCTCTGCTTAAACTGAAAGACAGGGACAATATTATCTGTAGCTATCATTCATTGATTTCTAGATATTCACTGTCAGAATCACAAGTTATCTGTATTACTTGTGTATCTATTTATCAAGCATAAAACATCACAATAATATTAATCTACAATGCCTAATTTTTAAACTCATATGTGTTTTCCATTGCTCCATTGTCTAAGATAGTGGTTCTTAAATTTGAGTGTGCTTCAGAAGCACCTGAAGGACATGTCAAAACACAAATTGTTGGGAGACACCTCCAGAGTTTCTAATTTATGTGTACAATATACAGCCATACACATATGTGCATATGTACACACAGGCATGATACCTGCTTACAAATAAAAGAGTAGAAACATAACAGTAAAAACATATAAAACAGAGCATTATTATCTTTCTCCTTCACTAAGAGATCATCAAATTAGCTGAAGATGTTTCTTTCCTTGTAATTTCTTGAAGGTAAAGATCTTTTATAGTGCTTCTTAGGTTAAAAAATATAATAAAGTCAGAAATAGGTCTCTAATCTAGCCAATGAACAATCACTTGATATCCCTGGTCTCAGATATAAGGAGCAAACCTAGCTCAATAATCTCAACTGAAATAGTTATAAGGGTAAAGCCTGGGATCTCTGCAGAACCCAGAAGGGTAAAAGAATGGAGGGGAGGTCCAAGAATAAGAGGATTTAAGGAATCCACTAAAATGAGGCTGTGTGTAGACTTAAAGGTGACAGGAGGGCAAAGGAAAGAAATGCTTTGCCCACACTCTGGGCTCTAGATTATCAGGATCAGCCATGAATAATCATAAGTCTTCCCGCCAATGGCTTGTCTGTGCCTGTGTGCCCAGCCAGATGCCATGGCTATGCTTTTGTGCACTGTCACCCAGAGTTGTTGAACTGTGATGCAGTAATCAACACCCTCACTTGTAAGCTTGCCATCAAATTGAGCAAAGCACACTACACCATTACATCCAAATTGTTAGTGGAGGGGTGCCAGGGAGTGAAAGCAGATTCAGCAAACACAGTTATGGTGCCAAGAGTAGGCACTCAGTGAGAAAATGATGCCATGTAGACCACTGGGTAATGTGAGATTCAAGACTAAGTGGGCCAATGAGAAAGCAAGGAGCATACTCTAGAGTGTCTGTTCTTCTGGAAGTTTCCACTGAATTTTTCTTCAGAAGTTGTTAAGGCAAGAGAGGTAGCTAAAGGGCAGCTGGATAGAGTGTGATTGGTTGCAGTTATCATCCTCCTAAGTATATGTTCAACTTAAGAAAAATAGTAGTTTTAAAGAAAGCTTCCTTGCCCTTTTTACCAATTGCCACTGCCTTACCCTTTCATACAGGTGCCACTGAGAAAAAGGGAGAAAAAGTAGCTATTCCGTGTGCCTGTACTCTTCAATATTATTGTGCAGCAAAGGGTTAACTCAGCAGGTCTAGCTTGCCCAAACTGCAGATTCCAAAGGTCTTCAGGACCAGCCCTTGATCGGCTCCTGGGAGATAACCTCTGAACTCTTAAGAGTCTTTTGGAATACAAAGAGTGCTTTTGTAGATTTGAGACCTTGGAAATGCCAGACAGTTTATGCTAACAATGTGATTAATGGTAGATGCTTGTTTTCTATTCCTGGAGCTTTGGGTCACACTGTACCAGTTTGAATTCTGGGGGTTCTGGGTCTGAGTAGCTCAGGTGAATCAAATGAGAGCCACATGCCTATATGATTTACCTTTAAGTCATATAGGTAAAAATACTATAAGTCATATAAATCAAAAACCCTGGGAACCGTGGTTCACGTGAACTTCTCTGATTGGCACCACTTTACATGTGCTGTCACACATCGTTGCTTGGAGAATTAAGCACTATTTCAGTGCTTCCAGTGAGAGAGGACAACTAGAAGCTTGTTCCTGGTCTCTCTTGGACCATCTGCTGTTAAGTGTCTTTTATCTTGCTAATTTTAAGCTGTATCCTTTACCTGTAATAAACTACTACCATGAATGTGACAGCTTTGCTGATTTCAGTGAGTCGCTCTGGTGAATCTTTGAATCTGACAATGGTCCTGGGCATCCCTGACACAATTACTCAAAAAGCTAACTGTTCCTCCATAGTGACAAAAATATGTATCATGAGTGTTTTTGGCAAAACCAATGAGATAACTCAGTGTATTAGGAATACGACAATATACTACACATGCACACACACACACACACACACAGACAAAACCAGGACTCTGTGCTGGAGGGCTTGAGGTAAACAAGAGATAAAATTCATAAAAGCCAATGTAAACTGGATACAAATTATTTTATTTACACAATTGTTTCTATATTTTTGGTATTTATAATTTATGGGCTTGTTTTTATATTTGGTTATAGGTGACTCCCACTCGAAATATTTTGTTATATGAAGAAAAGGCTAAGCATGAGGAGGTAGAGCCTATCTTTTAAAGAGTAGTAATAGATAACCTGTATGGCATAGATATTGGATTAGCAGGAGACAGGGCAAAAGGTCTCTCTTTTTTCACAAATAAAATAATAGAGGAAGATGAGGTGAATTGAGGAAGATAGTAGCAAAAGAGGTAATCATCTTCATACTTCTTTGAAACTAGTGATGTTGTTCTTAAAACCTCAGCTTACCCGAATGTCACCTCTAAAATAATTAGAATGTCACCCCATTTTACGAATAATTTACTACCATTAGCCAAGAACTGTCATAATAAATACTCAAGTCTATGAGACTGTGATGGGAATGGCATCCCCAAGGTGCAGTCAGTGGCTCCAGCTGCTTGGCTCCTCAAACAAAGCTTTGGTTGATTTTTTAATGTCCAAATCCACCCAACAAATAGTTATCAGAGTTCAATTCAAGTTCAGGAAACATTGCATTTGAGTCTTGGTTTTACTACCAGTTTTATTTCTTCTCAGAGGTATTGGGTGTGAATGATTAGCATAGGTTATTTTACAAACTCTCTGGACATGACTGGCATCCAAGCTCAAAATTCTCATAAACTTCCAATTAATTGTACAGTCTAACTTTGTGATATTTATTAGGGTCAGTAATTGTCTGATCTTTGCTTAGCAATTATGGATAATTGCAATGGCATGCATGAATTAATAGAAACATATGGCACTTAAACATATTTCTTTATTAATTTTTACTGAGCTGATTTTTGTGCTAATTAATATGAGTGTACTCTAGAGGGCAATAAACAATAACCTCACAGGTACACATCTTGGCTTACAAATACCTGGTTCAAGGAAGGTTTATTTCCTGGATGGAATGCAGTAAATTTTTAAAAAATATTATGTATGCTTGGTTCTGTGCAATTTTAGATTTTATGATAAATTTTAATTTTAACTTTTGTATTATTTTAATTTTTGCATTATGGGAGTAAATGATTTAATTTCACTTTTAAGATTAAATTATTTATGCATCTATTCATTTTCTCTTATGCCTATCCCCTAGTTATGTTCCCTGCTATCCTGAGTGCTTAGAATATATATATTTTTTTGTTTTACGTTCAGGGTTATATGTGCAGGTTTGTTGTATAGGTAAACTTTGTGTCATGGGGGCTTTTTGTACAGATTATTTTGTCACCCAGGTTTTAAGCCTTGTACCCAATAGAATGTATCTTTAAATTGTATTTATTCCTTTAAAATATGTAGATTGTGTGTGTATTTGACTAACATAAATGGCATTTTGCTATAGATATTTCCTGTCATAATTTTTTACTCAACATTGTTTAAAGACCTATTCACACTGCTTACCATACAAGTAGCTTTTTTGGCTTTTGACTCCTGAGAGTATTTCACTGTTTGTATTTCATCCATCCCTCAATAATGTGTGCCCCTACACTACCTTCTACTCCTTACCACCAAGTACCATTGCAATTCAAATCTCACTCTTGGCTTGTTTGGAAAATTTATAAGAATCTTTCTAGGATTTTTGAGCCATGAATGATAATACTTAAACTATCTAATACTGCCAGTAGGGTTGCACCTGTATAAATTCCTGCAGGAAGGGCAAGATGGTTTTCTTTTTTCAGAAAACTTGTCAGTTTCAACTTTACTAACTTTTTGCCACATTGATATATGTAGAGTAGTACCTTACTAATGTTTCACTTATTCTACACACTAAAGAAGTTGACTGTCTCTTTAATTGTTAATGATTTACTTTTGCTTTTCTACAAATTGACTTTGCCCATTTTTCTATTGTTTCTTTTGCCTTTTTGTCAATTTTAATTAGGTCTTCTTTTGTATCATAGATACTCTTTCACCATTGATTTTATGTTTTGCAAATATATTGTAATATGTACATCTCTGTTAAATTTGCACAAGTTGGTTTTTATTGAACAGAAGCTCTAGACTTAGACAGTGAAACCTTAGTATGATTAACTCAAATTTATTATTTATTCCCGTATGATTTGTGATTTATTCTGGCATGTTTAGTATAGTGCTTACTCATTCCTAAGACATAAGGATGATGATCTTGACATTTTGAGAAGTACTACTGTAGGATGCACTTTATAGGAATTTGTTTGATGTTTTTCTCAGGAGTATATTGGCATATGGGACTGATAAAGTTGGATTCCATTCAAATTAAAAACATTTGCTCTGTGAAAGACACTGTCTAGAGAATAAGAAGACAAGCCACAAATGGAGAAAGAATATTTGGAAAGAAATATTTAATAAAATACTGTTGTATTTAATATTCAAACAACTCTTAAAACTGAACAATAAGAAAATGAACAAACAAGCTGTGGCTGTAGTCCCAGCTACTCAGCAAGCTGAGGTAGGAGGATTGCTTAAGCCCAGGAATTCAAGTCCAGCCTGGGTGACTGACTCTACCTCCAAAAATTAAATAAATAAATAAAATAAGGTAAATAAAACAAGAAAATAAAAACTTACTTAAAAATGGGCAAAATATCTGAACAGACACTTCACCAAAGAAGATATGCATATAGTAAATAAGCATATACAAAGATGATCAACATCATATGTCATTTAGGAACTGCAAATTGAAACAATAAGATACCACTAGCTATTTAATAGAATAACTAAAGTCTCAGACACTGGCAACAACAAATTCTGATGAGGATTCTGAAGCAGTAAGATTTTGGTAAAAATGCAAAATGGCACTGACACTTTGGAAAACACTCTAGCAGTTTCTTACAAAACCAAACATTCTCTAACTATATGACCCACAAATTAATCTTCTTGCCATTTACCTAAGTTCATTGAAAACTTATGTCCACACACACGAAAAAAATGCACATGGATGTTTACAACAGTTTTCTTCACAATTGACAAAACCATGATGCCCTTCACTACTTGAATTGATAAGTAAACTGTGGTACATTCTGAAAATGGAATATTATTCACTACTAAAAAGAACTGGGCTACCAAGCAATGAAAACATATGGAGAAAACTTAAATGCATACTACTAGGTGAAATAAGCTAATCTAAAATAAAATACATACTATATGATTCCAAGTATATGACATCATAGATAAGTCAAAAAGATGAAAAAAAGAAAATGATTAGTGATTGCTGGGGTAATGGGGGAGAGGATGATGAATAGGTGAAGCACAGGGTATTTTTAGCACAAGGAAACGTTTCCATGTGATACCATCATAGTAGACATATAATATGTATATGAATAATCATTATACATGTCATTACACATTTGCCCAAACCCACAAAATGTACAGCACCAAGAATAAAGAGTCAACCCTGTAGTAACTACGGACTTTGGTTGATAATGATGGGTTAATGTTTGTCCATTGATTGTAACAAATGTACTATTATAGAGGGGAACATCAATGGTGGAGGCTGTGCGTGTGTAGGGGGAGGAGGTATGTGAGAAACTTCATATGTTTTACTCTATTTTTCTGTGAAGCTTTATTCTTATTTACCATAAAAAGAAAGTCTTAGTAAAAGATAAGGAACACAATTATGTAAATTAAAGATGTACACTATTAAACCTAATGCAACCACTGAAATCATGTCATAGCATTATAAATCATAAGCAACTTAAGAGAAAATGAAATCATAAAACTATGTAAGTACTCTAAAATAAAAAAGAAAGGAAAAAGAGATAAATAGGATATATAAAAAAGCAAACAGGAATATAATAGAGCTAAACTTTATTATAGCAATTATCACATAAAATGTAAATAGTTTACACACTCAAAAGAGATTTTGAAAAGATCCGACTATATGCTGTCTTTTGAATAAAGAAACAAATCAGTTAAAAGTGAATAAATGAAAAATATATCATGCTAACCAAAAAAAGCTGATGAGTACATTACAGTAAGACAAAGTAGATTTTAAAACAAAAAACTCCAATATTATCAAAATGATAAAAGGGTTACTTTAAGGAGATCGAGACCATCCTGGCTAACAAGGTGAAACCCCGTCTCTACTAAAAATACAAAAAATTAGCCGGGCGCGGTGGCGGGCGCCTGTAGTCCCAGCTACTCGGGAGGCTGAGGCAGGAGAATGGCGTGAACCCGGGAAGCGGAGCTTGCAGTGAGCCGAGATTGCGCCACTGCAGTCCGCAGTCCGGCCTGGGCGACAGAGCGAGACTCCGTCTCAAAAAAAAAAAAAAAAAAAAGGGTTACTTTATCATAAGAGCAACACATGGTTACAATCATGCTTACATGTAAACAAATATATTTGCACATTTAAAATAAATGAACCAGCCACTAATAAAACTGCAATGAGATATAGATAATGCCATAATTTCAGTTTGAGATTTCAAAGGAGCTCACAATAATTGATTGAACAAGTATATAAAGACCAGTAAGAATACACCGACCAACTTGACGACAGTAGTATCTATAGAAGCCTGCATCCAACAAAAATAGAAAACACATACTATTTAGGTATACATGGAGTACTTTTGGGCATAGAAGTTAATCTGAGCCATAAAACAAATATCAATGAATTTAAAAATATCTTTTCTACTAATAATGGCATCAATAACAACCTACCAAATCACAAAATATCTAGCAGCTAAATAACACACTTCTAAATAACCCATTATCCAAAGAAGAAATAAAAAGGGAAAATATGAATATAAGTTAAGCAGTTTTAACTGGAATATTTTGAAGTGAAAACACTTCAAAATATGTAGGATACTGCAGAAGCAGTAAGGATATTAGGGAGTAATTAACTTAATAGTGGTGAATTTCTACGTTAGAAAAGCAGAAGTGTCTTGTTAAGGTCTTCACTTCAGCAACCACCAGAAAAAAAGAAAACCTTAAAGAAAGAAGGAAAAACAAAATTCAATGTAAGGAGAAGAAAAAAAATAAGAATTAGAGTGGAAATCAGTAAACTGGAAAACAATAGAAAAATCAATGAAGCCAAGAGCTAGTTCCTTGAGAAGATCAATAAAATTGATAAACCTCTATCCAGATACATCAGAAAGGAAAAAGGGAGAACAAAAGATATAAGCATCAGGAAAAAGAGATGATATTAAGGAAATTGAGTTGCTAGTTAAAACAGTTACCCCAAGGAATTTTCCCAGTTCTGATGGCTTTATTGCTAGAATCAACCAAATATTTAAGGAAGAAACAACACCAATTCTACACAAACTCATTAGAAAACAAAACAAAACAAAAACAGAGTGAATATTTTGTAACCTATCCTGTTAGGTTAGCATTACTGCACTATCAACGCAAGACAAAGACACTGCAAAAAAAAAAAAAACAAATACAGACAAGTATTCCTCATAAATCTAGATGACATTTATTTTAAATAGAAATTGAATATATCTTTCCAATCGATCTATCTATATTAATAATTCATGTACTAAATGCAGCTTATCCTACAAATACAAGTTTGGTTAAACATTTGAAATGCAGTCAGTGTAATTCGCCATATCAACAAACTAAAACATGAGAAATAAAAGACATCTAGAATGAAAAGCAAGGAAGTAAAACTGTCATTGTGTGCAGATGGCATGATAATTCATAAAGAAATTCTAATGAAATACATAAAAAGAGCTACTAGAACTAATAAATGAGTTCAGCAAGGTTGCGGAATAAAAGAGCAATAGACAAAATCAATTGCATTTTGAACACTAGCAATGAGCAATTAAAAATTGAGATGAAAATGTTTACCACGGGATCAAAATATGAAATACTTAAGGATAAATCTGACAAACCCGTGAAAGACCTGTACTTTGATGAGAGAAATTAAAGGAGCTCCATCTAAATGAAAAGCATCCAATGAGCATTAATCGGAGAAGTAATACTGTTAAAATGGCAATAAACCTCAAATTTATCTACAGGTTGATACAATTCCTATCAAAATCCCACTTAGCATGTTTTCAGAAACCTGTAATATGATCATAAAATTCATATGGAAATGCAAAAGACCTAGGACATTCAAAACAATCTTGAAAATGATTGTAGTTGAAGAACTAACAATACTTGATTTCAAGTTTTGGCATAAAAATACATAAATAGGTCCATGGAACAAAATAGACTTTAGATTAGAAACTAGAGTTGACCTATATAAACAATAGATTTTTGACAAAGGGCCCAAAACAATTCAAGGGAGAAAGTATAGTTTTTTCATAAATTATGTTGGAACAATTGTATATCCATATGTTGTTTTCCATTTTTGTTTTTTTAAGAATATTTTTTATACTTCATACCATATTAGAATATTAACCCAACATTGATAATAGGCACAAATGTGAAACATAAAACTATAAAACTCCTAGAAGAAAACATCAGATAAAACCTTTGTCATTTCAAATGAAACAATTTCTTAGATACAACACCAAAACCAAAATCTATCAAAGAAAAAAAATGATAAACTTCTTTCATCAAAATGAAAGCTTCTAGTCTTTGACATATATTGCTAAGACCAAATGCAAAATATGTACTGTATGAAATAAACATTTACAAATCATATACATGATAAAATACTAGAATCCAAAATATAAAATAACTTCCAAGGCCCATAATTTAGAAACCAGCAATCCAATTTACAAAACGAGCAGGTGATTAGGACAGATAATTCATCAAGAATGACATAGCCAATAAGCATGTGAAATATGCACATGAAAAGATGCTCAGTATGATTAGTCATTCATAAAATGCAAGTTGAAAGCACAGCTCAATGCTACTGCATACATATTAGAATGGCTAAAAGCAAAAAGACGATACCAAATTTTGGTAAGCATGTGGAAGAATAGGAATTCTCATACACTAATGGTGGGAATGTAAAATGATATAACCATTTTGGACCACAGGTTGGCAGTTTCCTAAAAATTTAAACATACATGGACTATACTGAGTGGATACACTATTATGTATTTAAGAGAAATGAAATTTATGTCTCTACAATGACTTGTACATGAATGTTCATAATAGCTTTGTTATTACCCAAAACTAGAAATAACTCAAATGTCCATTAATTAGTAAATAGATGAGCACACTGTGGTATGTCCATACAATGGAAGGCACTCTCCACCAGCCCCAGCCCCAGTAAGGAACTCTCAATCTCCTCACTGTCTCTCAGCTTGCTCATTACTTCCTATGAAAGCTGTTTTTTTCTTCTAAATAGGATAGATTCCCTCTTATCAACTATATTTCTACTGCATGAGGAATATCCACTATGATCCTTACATTAAATTACAAATATGTGTATAGCCCTCCCTCTAAATAGGAACAGAAAATGTTATTTATATTTACATTCCAAAATTTAGAAGTATTGATATTATAAAGAATTATTTGGAAATGAATATATCACTATGGTTAAGCTGGTCATTATATTCTTACAGAGCTATCCTAAAATTAGAACAAGCTGAATAAGCTGGAAATCAGATTTTTAGAACTTATCATAGATCTGAGTATACAAAAGAGGTTTAAATGATCTAAATTCAATAAAGAAAATGACAGGCATTCCTAGGAAGAAAAGACTTGTGGCTACTTAAAACCTTGTCTAAATGTCTTGGTTCTGCACTAATTCTAATGTGATTCGTGTACCTAGATAGGAAGAGTACTTTTCATGATATCTATTTCCAAATCCTTTACTGAATACACCCGTTTTAACTACTCTTACTACTTTTATAATATCCGTAAGATAAAAAGAAGATAAGCATAAACTCAATCACAAAATAAAAGCCTCTGAATACAACCACTCTAAATTCTAAATTTGTGTAGTAAGATTTAGAGTTGACCTTGCCAATGAGATGAAATTTAAACTTTGTTTTCAATGAAAGCATCAGATAGGTAACATTACTCTTAAGAAGGCTTGCAATTCTCTTTTGAAATGCAAATCTAAAACTTAGGTATTTCATAGAGCTATAATATGGGATGTATATAACAAGAAGATACATGTTTCATATATCCTGCAATAAAATGGGAATCAGTGAATGAGCCACCTTAATCTCTTGCCTATTTTAAAAGCTGAACGCACACTTTCTAGTAAAGAAAATCGATAGAAAGGGAGACAAAATTTTAAGAAAGAGAACTACAAGTCTGAATTAGAAACATATGTGATGAATACCTCAACTCTGCTATGCTATTAGGCAGTTTTAAATACTTAAAATTTTAGCAGGAGGCTGAAAGGATTATACTATGTTTGCAGATACAATATTACATCCATTATGTTAAGAAAACAGACTAATCAAGAAATCACTCTTTAATGTACTATGACTCATCAATTCTTGAATGTATTTTTACAATTATTAGACGTATATGAGGTTTCCTTCAAGGATGTCACCTGGAAATAAAAGAGATGTGGAACTTCGAAAAGAATTACTTGACAGATACCTTGTATATATACATTTAGATAATCATTTTGGGAGACCTAAAGATAAATGCTAGGAAACTAGCTTTCAACTTATGTACATCATTTGATCGCATTGCACCAGATTACTCTTAGGAGAGGGTCTGATCAACCTGATAAACACACTCTGACTGGGAAACTGTAAGATAGGAACAAACTCAGCATACCAGATGATGGGTTCAATGTTTGTCTGAAAGAACCAATTTACTCTGTCAAATCTTTCTATATGCAATGAGAATAATAGAAGCACCTTTTTAAATAGTTATATGAGGCTTACATTACATATTATTTGTAAAACAGCATAGTGATAGTATACATTAGATACTCTTTTTATATATAAATAAAATTAATAAACCAATGATGGTGAATCCAGAATTGAAGTTACAACTTAAAATATATACTAAAACAATATTAAAAATGATAACTGAAAGTAGTAAAAGACTGATAGTCTTGTTTCTGATAATCTAATGATTAATAATTACAATTTGAAAATTAAGAAAATAGATTTTTAATAAGTACCAAAATCTATTTCCTCTGAGATTAATTATTTCTGAGAAGCTATTGATGAGAGTCCCTTGGGCAAGTCATATATTTTCTGGCTTCACAATTAAATGATGACCTTAAAATGAAGAAAATCTTAAGTCTTTTCCAAATCTTGACTGCTATGATTTTGATTTTAACATGTAATAAATATTTGATTTATGAGCTTAGTTTTAAGGGATTAGAATATATTTCCTGAAAAAAACTTTGTAATTTCTAATATTCATGTATCAATAATATTTTGATAAAAATGATTTTCCAATACAGCTAGTGGTCATTAATAAAACAGAAAAATCATTTTGAGAAAGTTTGGTAATTATAATAATTAAACAATAAGAATTGCTAACATTTACTCATCACGCTTTGTTTACCAGGCACAGTGCTATGGGTTTTATTTAAATGGCTTTATTTAATATCCTCCTAAATCACATCGGGTAAGTAGTTTTCCTCATTTGACCAGAGGTTGAGAGAATTAGGTAATACAGCACCAAGGCTGGAAATGCAGTCAACCAAGTTTAGATATTAAAAAGAAGAAATACAAAGATGAAGAATTGATGTTTATGGAGAAAGATTACTACCTTGAAAAGGAAAGTAAACTTGAGGCCAGTGAGTGTTTCTAGTATATGGAGTTTGACTTGTCTAGTATAGTGGTGGTTGAAGTCAGAGGTTTGGGTTGTCTAATGAGGGTCCTTGTCTTCCTTCAATTGTATTAAACAGAGCATAAGCAGATGGTGAATGTTCAACTTGATTACATTGACCAAACGGAATTGGATAACAAACTCGAAATAGTTTGAGAAAAAAGGTAATATAGATTTGAGGACATAGACCAACAAGTTACCAGAGATCACCAAGGCAGCTATAACTAAACAAAAGAGGGAAAAGATCTATAAGAACAGCAGTGATTATTGGAGGATTAGATAATTAAAGAATCTGTCAGCTACAATTTAATTGAATTAAAGATGTATAAAAATGATAAAACATAAGTGTGTGTGTGTATATATATATATATATCTCATGATAGTTTGCCATAATTTAAAGAAATGGGTTTGTATTCCCAGCTAAATTTTTAAGAGAAGCATAATTCCCTTTTAAACACCTGAAAAAGAGTATCTATATAGTCATATGTATTATTTGAATTTTTACAAAACTGAGGAATATAAAACTGGAGGTATTCTACTTTAATTACCATAAAAATTATTTAAAACTATGAAAAAATAATCAGATTATAGATAACAATTTGAAAAGACCTTAAGGTAAAGTCTTAAATAATAAAATCATGACAAATTTAAAATCTTACAAAAATGCCAGAAATTATTACAAAGAACTTCTCATTTTTACAAGTATTACTAGAAGTGACAAATGAGAATGATCACTATAAAATTTTCTGTTTGTCATTTTGTTTTGAAATTTCTGGCTAAAGCCAAACCATGTGAAAATTAGAAAGAGGTAAAAAGAATTATTGGAAAGGTTTAGATAAATTTATCATATCTTGTGACTTATATATGGTTACATAAGACAATGACATAACAAGAAAATCTAAGAAAACAAATTAAATATACCTGTTAGATAAATTTTCTTTTAATTAAAAGTAGAGGATGATGATACTATTGTTTTTAAGGCATCTGGTAGCATTTACCACTCCAAATTCATAAATTTTAATACCATGTAGATATCATGAATTTGTCTTCCAGTATTTAAAATAAGGTTGTTTTTGATATTTTTAAAAGGATAACTCTTTTTGTGTAGAACATCATGAACACTTCAGGTTGTTTACCAGTTCTGCTGTGCTCAAAATTAAGTGCACGTGCCAACCTCAATCACTGAGACTTTCAAGAAAGCTGCTGCCTATTGCCAAACTTTCTGTGCAGAGTGGAGAGCGGGAGGGCAGGAAAAGAGATCTACCATGCTCTGTTGATAAACAGTGATCCAGAAGGAGCATACGTCTTTATGATACAATTTTTTAAATATATAATATGCATCTTGTATCCACAAAAAGTTTTAAGTGGCTCCAATAAATGCTTTCTAAAGTACATGCACTCTTTTTTTTTTTTGAGAAGGAGTCTTGCTCTGTCGCCCAGGCTGGAGTGGAGTGCAGTGGTGCCATCTTGGCTCGCTGCAACCTCCGCCTCCCGGGTTCAAGCAACTCTCAGCCTCAGCCTCCTGAGTAGCTGGGATTGCAGGCGCCCACCACCACGCCCGGCTAATTTTTTGTTTTTAGTAGAGACGGGGTTTCACCATCTTGGCCAGGCTGGTCTTGGGCCGGGCTCACGCCTGTAATACCAGCACTTTGGGAGGCCGTGGCAAGTGGATCACGAGGTCAGGAGTTTAAAGTACATGCATTCTAAAGCTATTTTCTGTCTTAGAAAGGGGAGCCATTATGTAAAAGTGCCTCAATATAAGCAGGGCTAATATTAGAGAACTAAGAAGAAAGTTTCTGTCCTAATCTCCATTCATTTATAAATCGATTTTAATATTACAACTATGTATTAATAGAAGTAGGTTCTAAATCACTTATCATTTGTAATCAGAAAAAGGTAAGTAGCCTAAAATATGAAAATAGTTTAATAAAATACATTAAAATGATTAAATAAAATTCAGTCAGGAATATAAATTGGGTAGTTACTTTGTAATAGGGAATGTGAAAAACTGCTGAAAATGACAACTACATTGTGCTAATATATAATACATATCATCAAAAATAATTACATATATAAGATATATAGTATATATAATATATTGCTTATCTAATTTCATCTCTGTGACTTCCCTAAATTTAGACATTTTCTCTGTTTACAAATGAGAAATTTGAAGCCCTAAGAAACAAATAGCTTTTCCAAAATCACATTAGTATTCTGCAGAAATGATGTTTTTATATATAGGTCTAATTCCAATACTGGAAAATTAATTATTTTAATTAGCCATGTAGATCAGTTCAATCAATAAAATTAATCAGTTATTTTAGTTAAGTATCCAAAATAGTTTAAATATTTAGAACATAATATTAAAAAGTATGTAGAATAATATGAAAAAATGTTCACTCTACATTTTTCTAAGAGTAAAGGGTGACTCTACGTTATTACAATATTGCTTCTGTATTTGTCATATTTCTTAAAATCAATTGTGCTCAATGATACTTACAAACTTTCTGAAAAATGGAATCTAGTAACCAAATTTTATTTGTTAATTTAATGGTCATGAAAGAAGAATGAATAGATTTTTTCAGAAAAAGTACAATCAGTGTTATAGGTAATTTATTAAGAATATGAAAAATATAATATTTGATGCAAAAGTATAAAATGTCTAGACTTTTAACTTTTAAAATGTCACAAAAATAATTCAATAATAACTCAATGGGATGAATGGCATAAAATGCTTTTGTATCTGTTTAAATGAAGTAAAGACACTGGTTACCTGATTTGGTGTGGCATAAAAATATTATTTTAACCAGTAGGCTTTCAAGAAAGTTTGTATTTGTTTAGAAAAATAACCAAATAGGCTTTTCAGAGGATAGAAGTTTTCATGTCAACGCCATGGATGGAAGAAGATACTCATGTCCTAAGTTAATTTCTCAGCAGAATAATAAGAAATGCAAAGGAAATTAGAGAAGGGGCAGTAGAGAGAGAAGAGAAAAGGTGAACCCACTTGTTGAGTGGACTAAAGCTCAAGTTATTGGAAGGGAGTGAAGGAAGGAAAATGAGTCTTAAAAACATTTTTTATTTATCATTATTACAGATAATTATTCATTTATTTATCTACCTATTTATTTCAAATTATGTTTCAAAGTAATTGTTTGCCAAACATGATGATGCATAAAGGTGAAATTTTAAAGGTGAAATTTTAAAGATTTTAAAGTGATTATGTTCTAAATCACTGTCATGATTGTAGCTTGTGATGGTGGTAGGGGAGAAGGCTTGACAGTAATTAAGAAGTAGAAAAATAGATTAAAATATCTACTCAGGATGAGAAAGGCAATATAAAATAATCAATAAAGGTAACCATGAGTTGAGCAGCTGAAATACAGAACTTTCAGAGGGGTGAACAGAGCTAGCCTGTCTGAGTTGGTAATATTTGCAGTGAAGGCTAAATGATGGGAAGCAAAGCTTTCTAGGAGAAGAGGACCTCAGGCCCTTGTTTGGAAAGGTCTAAGGTATGTGTTTGGAAAAATTTTGGCAAACTTTAGCAACTGTGTCACTGTTTGTGGGGAGATTTATAAAGATATAGCTAGAGAGAGAGTTAACAGCATTTCCAGTGATAAGTTTGGATTTTATTTCAAGTACTAATGGAAGAAAATGATAATTTTAATCAAAAGAGTGCCGTAACTGTTAGTTAATGCTCTCAAATCTCCAAAAAACAAATAAAAAACAAACACAAAATACAGAAAAACTTTATTATACAAAATGTAAGTTTAGTGTGGGAGTTATTTGGTAGAGTGGGAAGAAAATTGCTTGTCATCAAGAAGGGGTTGTGCAGCCCATTTAGCTCCACTCCAATCTCAAAAGAAAAAAAAATTGTAAGGCAAAGAAAAAGGAAAAAAACAATAGATACTAAAAATTTTACCCAGAACTGTTACAAAGGTTTGTGATCATATTTTCTACATATTGACAGATGGCATATGTAATACAACGCATATATTGATTTTCTTTCCAAAGTGTCATGAAATATGGTGAAGATACACATAGGCAATTAAAACATTGCCTTAAATTTCTTATATTTCAAATATGAATTTTAAGAAGAGGCACAATGTCTAATTAACTAATACCCTGCACCTGAGATCTTTAGGCCTAAATTGGGCTGAAATACAAAGAGCTGACACCTTTTTCTGATATAAATACTATTGATAATGTTTCAAAGATGTGGGCATGGCCATTGACACTAAGTCTATTTCTAGGAGGGTATCAGGATACGTTTGGCTCAAGTAAGGAAATATCAACTGAGTGTCTTATTGAGGGAGGTGGTACTGTAGGTGGTTTTATGAGTCAAAATTATCACACAGACCCAATCCTTGGCTCTTTTCATTTTTCCATCTGCATTCTCATCATGGTACTTCTTCCTTTATAATCACAAGATAGCTGCCATAACTGCAGTGATTATATCTTCCCACATTTATTAAGAAGGGAAGAAGAAAGCCAAGGAGATTTCCTCTCACTTCTCTCTGTTATTGTCAAGAAACTAAATATTGTTCCATGACATTGCAGATGACATCTTTTCTCTCTAGTTGAGTAGAATGGAGTAGCCCAAGTTCTACTATGCCTGTCAGAGGAAAAAATGGAAACAGATTGTTGCAACTACATAAATTCTTACTCTGGGACCACTTTTACATCTAAGAAAAATCAGGAATCCGTTGGTGAAGAAATGAGAATGACAGGCAAGCGACAAACAGTGTCTGCCACAATAAGGAAAATATATATGCTAAGAAGGGAATTGTTAAAGTGTTAGAAAAAGATAAAATCTAATTACCCAAAGAGGGAATGGGAGTGTATTTTCAATAAAGAGGATAATTTAATTGAACACAATGTGAGGAAAAGCACAATTATTGCTCTGCTCAGGGGAAGGAGCAATAAGGAGATTAAGAACATCCAAAGAAAATAAATCGCTGTGGAATTCTTTGGGCAAATCACTGTAATATTTGATGTGTTCATAAAATATCACCTATTTTATGATTAGATATTATCTATGGACACACATTTATGAAGGACAAATGAAAATCTCAAGAAAAATAACAGCAAGACATCTGAAAAACAACATAATTAAATATAGATGACAAGAGTAGAATGGCTAAAATCCAAAGCACTAATAATACCAAATGCTGCATCAGCATCTCTCATTCATTACTGCTGAGAATGCAAAACAGAACAGCTAATTTGGAAGATATTTTCAGTTTCTTACAAAACCAAATATACTCTTACCATATGAATCAGCAATCTTATCTTGATCTTATTGATATCTACCCAAATCTGCTAAAAATGTATGTCCACACAAATACCTGCACATTGATGTTTACAGTTTTATTCAAAATTGCCAAACCTGGAAGCAACCAAGATGTCTTTCAATAGGTTAATGAATAAGTAAACAATGGTCCAGCCATACAATGATTTAATTATTATTCACTGCAAAGAAAAATGAGCTCTCATGCCAAGAAAAGATATGGGAAAACCTTAAATGAATGTTACTAAATGAACAAAGCAAATCTGAATAGAATCACTGTATGATTCCAACTCTGGCATTCTGGAAAAGGCATAACTATGGAAACAGTAAAAATATCAGTGGTTAACAGGGGGTAAGGGAGGAGGGAAGAATAAATTGGTGGGGAACAGATGAGTTTTAGGGCAGTGAAGGTATTCTGTATGGTATTACAATAGTAGATACATATCCTTATACATTTCTCAAAAGCCATAAAACATGCAACACCAAGAGTGACTCTAATGCAAATGATGGACTTTTAGTGATAATGATGTCTCAATGCTAGTTCATTATTTGTAAAAAGTGAACCACTAACACCTGCCTAAGTTCTCAGGCCAGAAGCAACTCTGCACTTCCCTGGGATGAGGCTCCCAGAAGGAGAGGCAGGTGGCCATTTTTGCTGCTCCACAGCTCTCACTACTGTTGCCATCAGGATAAGAGGGTGTACAGTGATCAGGGACTAATCCAGACCCCGAGCACAGTGCAGCTGTTTGCCATGTGGGCCCACACCACTGCTACTCCACTCTAGGCACGGCCTCCAGACCCAGGACTCCAGCCACTTCCTGCCTTGGCTCTCGGGCCAGCAGCAGCCCTGCATTTCCCTAGGATGGAGCTCCCAAAGGAAGTAGGCAGGCCACTATTTTTGTTGCTTTGCAGCCCTTGCTCCTGTTGCCCTGAGATATGGGAGGGAGCACAGTGATTAGCTACTGATGAAGATCCTGGGCACAGTGCAACAGCCTTATGGAAAAGTGGCCAGACTATTTTCCACACAGGTCCCCACCTCCACTACTCTTCACTGGGCAGTGTTTCTCCACCTTGAACCCCAGTACAACCACATTTCCCCCATCTGGACACTTCAATCAGTGGCAACTCTGCATTTTTCTGAGGAGGGAATCCTAGAAACAGCCTACAGGCCCTCTCCCATTGCAACTGCAGTGGTAATGACCTTATTGCCCTCAGTCTGGGAAAGAAACAAAGGGCCTGATCACTACACTGGACCACCAGGACACCACAGCCACTATATAGAAAGGAGTCCAGTTGCTCTTCCCTGTGAGCCCCCACCCCTCACTCTTCACCAGTCAGGGCCCCCAGCTTGGGAACACACAGCAGCTGTCTTCTACCCACAGCCAAGCATTTCCACTGCCAGTGGCTCTGTGTTTCCCTGAGAGTGGCTCCCAGAAGCAAAAAAAAGGCTCTCTGTCCCTGCAGCAGTTCTGTCCCTGCTGCCCTCAGACTGAAGAAGAAACAAAGAGCCTGTGGGCTTTACTCATTTCCAACACAACACAGTCACCATCTGGAAAGTTGCCCACTCTCTCCCAACTGTGAGCCCTCAACCACCAGCTTTTCATCAAGTGGGGCCAACAGTTGGGCCAGCAGTGTAGCAGCCCCAGACCCTTGCTGACCAGTTCTAGTAGCAGTGGCTCTGTGTTTTTCTGAGGTGGAGATCCCAGAGGCAACTGAAAGTCTGTCTACTACTGCCACTGTTCATCTCCAGGTAAGGTGCCCTGGTTTTGGTCCAGAACACAGCTGCCCCACCACAGGCCAGTCACACTAATGGAAAGCCACTTTGCATCTCTCTCTGGGGTGGAGCCCCAGGAGACAAGTAAAAGGTCCTCTGCCTCAGGCACTGTCATGGTCCCTCCTCCTACTGCCTCCTAGCTGGGAAGGGAACATAAAGCCTGAGCTTGCCCCAGTGCTGCAGTGTGAAACCCAGGAGTGCCAAGCTGAGAACTGCAGCCAGCACTCCAGTGGGAGAGGAGCACACACTTTCAGAGCATTGAGAGGTAGCATGGCAGCAATCATGAGGAAATACAGAGGAGTCACATGGCTGAGCAAAAGCCTGTCTACACATTCTTTGGTTATATGCCATCTGTTGGATCAAAGCCCAAACTTCAATACCAAAAATACTAACATACACTCCTGTGAAACCATGGATGAGAATTCAGCTACAGATAAAGACTTGCACAAAGCCTTGGCCTTCTGGAAACATATAGAAAAGAAGTCAACTGATGGTACTCAAATTGCACCACAGTTAAAGGAGCACCAACCCACACAGATGAGAAAGAACCAGCACAAGAACTCTGGTAACTCAAAAAGCCAGAGTTTCTTCTTACCTCCAAATGACCACACTACTTCACCAGCAAGAGTTCTTAACCAGAATGAAGTAGCTAAAATGACAGAAATCGAATTTAGAATATGGATAGGAATGAAGATCATCTAGATTCAGGAGTAAATTGAAACCCAATTCAAGGAAATTAAGGTTTACAACAAAACAATATGGGAGCTGGTAAACAAGATGACCATTATAAAAAGAAACAAACTGATCTGATACAGCTGAAAACCCCACTACACGAATTTCATAATGCAATCACAAATATTAACAGCAGAATAGACCAAGGTAGGAAAGAATCTCAGAATTTGAAG
Organism: Homo sapiens; assembly: GCF_000001405.40. Taxonomy (NCBI): domain Eukaryota; kingdom Metazoa; phylum Chordata; class Mammalia; order Primates; family Hominidae; genus Homo; species Homo sapiens. The sequence continues at coordinate 90,521,375 of NC_000013.11, forward strand.
ACTGGCTATCTAAACTAACTCAGTCAGGCAAAAATTTTTTAAAAAAGAATAGAACAAAACCTCCAAGAAACATGGAATTATGTACAGAGACTATGTCTACAACTCATTGGCATCCCTGAAAGATGGGGGAGAAAGAAAGCAATTTGGAAAACACACTTTAGAATATGGTTCATGAAAGTTTCCCTAACCTCACTAGAGAGGCCAACATTCAAGTTCAGGAAAAGCAGAGAATCCCTATGAGATACTACACAAGAAGCCCATCCCCAAGATACATACTCATCAGATTCTCCAAGCTTGAAGTGAAAGAAAAAATGTTAGAGACAGCTAAAGAGAAAGGGCATTTAAGAAATATTTCACCAGAAACCCTACAAGCCAGAAGAGATTGAAGGCTTATATTTAGCATTCCTAAAGAAAAGAACCTCTAAGCAAGAATTTCATATCCAGCTAAACTAAGCTTCATAAGCAAAGGAGAAATAAGATTATTTTAGACAAGCAAATGTTAAAGGAATTTGTTCCTACCAGACCTGTCATAAGAGAGGCCCTGAAAGAAGTGCTAAATATGGAAAGACTATAACCAGCCACTACAAAAACAAACTTAAGTACATAGATCATTGATACTGTAAAACAACCACACAAACATGTCTGCATAATAGCCAGCTGATAATATAATGACAGGATCAAATCTGCACGTATCAACATTAGCCTTGACTGTAAACAAAATTAATGCCCCAATTAAAAGGCAAACAGTGGCCGGCTGGATAAAGAAGCAAGACCTGATGGTATGCTGTCTTCAGGAGACCCATCTCACATGCAATGATACCCATAGACTCAAAGTAAAGGAATGGAGAAAAATCTACCAACCAAATGGGAAATATAAAAAAGCAGTGGTTACTATTCTAATTTCAGACACAACAAACTTTAAATGAACAAAGATTAAAAAAAAAGTTGAGCATTACATAATGGTAGAGTTTGACTCAACAAGACAACAAACCGAAATATATATATACACACAACACAAGAGCACTCAATTCATAAAACAAGCTCTTAGAGACCTATGAAGAGGCTTAGATTGCCTCACAATAATAGTAGGAAACTTCGACACTCCACTGACAGTATTAGACAGACCACTGAGGCAGAAAACTGAAAAAGACATTCAGAATCCGAACTTGACATTTGACCCAATGGACCTAGTAGACATCTACACAACTCTCCACCCCAAAACAACAAAACATACATTCTTCCCATCTGCACATGACAAATACTCTAAAATTGATCACATAATCATACATAAAACAATCCGCAGCAAAAGCAAAATAACTGTCAGAGTTTTGTTTACCAAACACACTCTCAGAGCACAGCATAATAAAAATACTAATCAATGCTAAGAAAACCACACAAAACCATACCATTACATAGAAATTAACCAACCTGCTCCTGAATGACCTTTGGGTAAGCAAAAAATTAAGGCATAAATCAAGAAATGTATTGAAATTAATGAGAACAAAGACACAGCATGCTAGAATCTCTGGGACACAGCAAAAACAAACAGTGTTAAGAGGAAAATTTATAGTGCTAAACAACCACGTTGAAAAGTAAGATAGATCTCAAATCAGCAATCTAACATCATACTGAGAGGAACTGGAGATACAAGAGCAAATCAACCCCAAAGCTAGGAGAAGACAAGGAAAAAAAAACAAAAACAAAAACAAAAAACAAAATCAGAGCTGAATTGGAGGAAATTGAGACGTGAAAAACCACACAAAAGATTATCAAATCCAGGAGCTGGTTCTTTGAAAGAATCAATAAGAGAAATAGACAACTAGATAGGTTAATAAAGAAAAAAAGAGAGAATATTCAAATAACCACAATCAAAAATGACAAAGGGGATATTAACACTGACCATACAGAAATACAAAAAGCCCTCAGAGATTACTAGGAACACTTCAGTGTATATAAGTTAGAAAACCTAGAAGAAATGGGTAAATTCCTGGAAACATACGACCACCAAGATTAAACTGGAAGAAATTAAATCCCTGAACAAATTAATAATGAGTCCTGAAATTGAATCAGTAATAACAAGCCTGCCGACCAGAAAAAGCCCAGGACCAGATAGCTGAATTCTACCAGATGTATAAAGAAGAGCTGGTACCATTCTGAAAGTATCTTGAAAAAACTAAAGAATATGAATTCCTCCTTAGCTCATTCTATGAGATCACCATCGTACTGATGCCAAAACCTGGGAAAGACTTGGCAGAAAAAGAAAATGTCAGACCAATATCCTTGATGAACATAGATGCAAAATCCTCAATAGAATACTAGTAAGCTGAATCTACCTGCACATCAAAAATATAATCCCTCATGATCAAGTATGCTTTATCCCTGGGATGCAAAGTTGATTCAACATATACAAATCAGTAAATGTAAAAAAAAATCGATAAATGTGATTCATCACACAAACAGAACTAAAAACAAGAGCCATATAATTATTTCAATAGATGAAGAAAAGGCTTTTGATAAAATTCAACATCACTTCATGTTAAAAACCCTCAACAAAATAGGCATGGAAGAAACATATTTCAAAATAATAGGAACCATCTATGACAAGCCCATAGCCATCATGCTTAATAGGCAAAAGCAAGAAGTATTCTCTTTAAAAACCAGATCAAGACAAGGATGCCACCTCTCACCATTCCTATTCACCATAGGACTGGAAGTTATTGATAGATCTATCTGGCAAGGGAAAGAAATGAAAGGCATCCAAATAGGAAGAGAGGAAATCAAAGTATCTCTGTTTTCAGACAATATGATTCTATACCTAGAAAAACCCATAGTCTGCCCAAAAGTTCCTTAAGCAGATAAACAACTTCAGCAAAGTTTCAGGACACAAAATCAATGTACAAAAATTAGTAACACCTTTATACACCAACAACATACAAGCTGACAGCCAAATCAAGAATTCAATGCCATTCACAATAGCCGTAATAAGAATAAAATACTAGGAATACAACTAACCCAACGAGGTGAAAGTCCTTTACATTGAGAATTATGAAACACTATTCAAAGAAATCAGAGATGACACAAACAAATGGTAAACCATTTCATGATCAATAATAGGAAGAATCAATATTGTTAAAATGGCCATGATGCCCAAAGCAACGTACAAATTCGGTGCTACTCTTATCAAACTACCAATGACATTCTTCACAGAATTAGAAAACAAACTATTTTAAACTTCACTTGGAACCAAAAAAGAGCATAAATAGCCAAGAGAATTCTAAGCAAAACCAACAAAGCTATGTTACAAGGTTATAGTAACCAAAACAGCATGGTAGTGGTTAAAAAAAAAAAAAAAAAGACACATAGACCACTGGAATAGAATACAGAGCCCAAAAATATTTCTGTACACTTACAGTCATCTAATATTCAATGAAGTCAAGAAAAACAAGCCATGAGGAAAGGATTCTCTATTTAATAAATGGTGCTGGGATAACTGACCAACCATATGCAGAAGACTGCAACTGGACTATATACCTCCTTATACCATATTTAAAAAGTCAACTCAAGATGGATTAAAGACTAATGTAAAACCTAAAACTACAAAAACCCTGGAGATTTCTTCTTGGCCTTTTGGCTAACATTAAGTGTAAAACCCTGAAAAATAACCTAAGAAATATAATCCTGGACATAGGACCTAACAAAGATTTCATGACAAAGATGCCCAAAGTAATTGCAACAAAAACAAAATTGACAAATAGGGCCTAATTAAACTAAAGAGCTTCTGCATAACAAAAGAAACTATCAACAGAGTCAGCAGACAACCTATAGAATGGGATAAAATAGAATGGGATCCTATAGAATGGGAGGAATATTAAGCCACGCTTGGATAGTGTATAAGAACTAAGGTCATACCAGAGGAGCTATGATCAAATGATGTCACTACTGCTATCTTGGCACTCTGGCAGCTGAAATTGTCACAGACATAAATTGCAAGTTATCCAACTTTATGTGCTTCTATCACTTAACCTAGATTTAAAATGTTGGACAAAAATCCAAATTAAAATAATTAAATACAGACATTTTGATTCCCAGATTAGTATATGAGGAAAACAGAGGTAACTCTACAAAAGAAAGAATGGAGGGAGTGGCACATCCTAACAAATTAGAAGACAGAGGGGTGCAAACCAACAGCCTCATTCAATAGCTTATTTCTCACAAGGTTAAAGTTTTCTTAAGTTTTAACATATCACAATGAGCAACTTTAATAAAATTACTTTTTAAAAAGAACATTAGTATTCTTTTTAAAAAGTTTAAAAAGAACATTTAGTATTAAATACTAAATTCATTATCATTTGACAATCAACAATATAGATAAATGAGTTTATTCCAAACTGAAAAGATTATATTAAGCTAGAAGTATAATTATCTGCATGGCCTGTTTTACTAGATTCAATACATTTTTAAAAATTCTCGGGCAATTTGGAGTTGCCTCAGAAGCCTCAAGGGATGGTTTGGGAGACAGAGGGAGCAGAGCTCTGGAGAATTCTGTTTTAATTACAGCAGTTTTACAAACATTTGCTACATTGGAGGTCTGCATAAAAGTATTATTTTGAAAGGGTTTTGAGCTCCCAAAATTTGAAAACCAGTGAATTATGAAATGGCAACTTCTACCCACACTATAAAGGAACAATTCTGTATATAAATGAATTTGATTGTTTAAAGAAAATGATTTATTTGTTTCACAAGTGAACTACGTTTTATCAAGTGTTTACTACAAAGCAGATACTTTTCTAGAATTTTCAATAAGCTATTGAATTTAAATAAGTTTTATAGAAGGATAGGGATGTAGTGTTTGGTAGCACAATTGGGGAAATATAGTTAACAGTAATGTATTTTATATTTCAAAATAGCTAGAAAAGATTTTAAATACCCCATCATAAATAAATGATCAACGTTTGAGATAATGAATCTTCCAAATACCCAGATTTGATCATTATACTTTAGAGGCTTGTATCAAAATATCATATGTACCTTATAAATATTTACAACTACTATGTGTTCCTAAAAATTAACAATAAAATTAAAAGTTAAATATCTTCACAGGTTTGCCATTGGATGTAAACAAGAAAAAGTTAAACATATGTACAATCATTTCAAAACACATTTAGTTTTATGTACTTAGAATCTCTTGGCATGTTTTGGTGTTGCCAATTAATTTTCACTCAGTCAAACATTCTGGTCTACCCTACTCCATATAAGCCTTGTTACAGTTGGGTTGAAACAACAAGAGGTTTAATGGGTTAATGAGACTAATGTAATATCCCTCTACTGTATTTACACAAGTGGAATCTCTTCATTATATTAATAGAATCCTGTAGCAAGCCTATGCTTTCTTCAAATGTGCACTTGCATAGACTGTACAATACCTAAGGTGAACCCTAATGCAAACGATGAACTTTGGGTGATTATCATATGTCAATGTAGTTTTATCAGTTGCAACATGTGTACCACTCTGTTGCAGAATGTTGATAATGGGGGAGGGTATACATGTGTAACAACAGAGAAGAGATAAGAAATCTCTGTGCCTCTCTCTTATTTTTGCTGTGAATCTAAAACTGCTCTAAAAACATCCAGTACTAAAATTAAAAAGTGCACTTGAATATACTTGAATGCCACATAGTATCTGAAAATATTGTAAATCTAAAATGCTCCAGCCAAGAGGAAAATAAATTTTTACAGTAATCCTCTTATTGGCAAAAATTATAACTTCCTCTTAAACAGCTGTTAATCACCCACATTTAATCTCCAGTTTCTAACCACAAAAGGAAACTAGAAGGTATATATAGTATAAGGAATATCTTCCTATATATAGAGAGAAAACTTTAAAATATGTATTTGTAGGTGCTTTTCATATAATAAAATTTGCTTTGTCTCTTACTTCTAGCTTGTTAGAATTGACAGAGCTATTAAATGAATTTGTATCTTTTGACTATTGCCTTTCTTCTTTCCTTCATCTTCCACATTGGAGCACACGTATAATGCTTAGAGATGTAAAAGCCATTTTGCAAGAATGAGAATGAGTGCTACATGCTAAGGAAAGTGGAATGGAAAGTTAAGAACAGTTAAGGTAACTGAGGACATAATGGAACTGTCATACTTCCTCTGAATATTCTCCAATACTACGTATGGAACAGAAAAAAAATCCCTATCTGATGTAACCAAATTACTGATTCATTCAACTGAAAGTAATTCTAATTGATATGACAACTGCAAATATTTATTGATTTATTATGGAAGTTAGTAACTGAGATGACAAAACACATAGGTGAAAGGAGGTATAAGTTATACATGTTCTACTTTTTCCTATGTTGCCACACATGACTATAAATGTCCCAAATTAAAAACACGTAGATATTCAATGTTAGATGTATTCATGAAATAATATTTTTATTTAATAAAATAATCTATACATTAACAAATATTGATGGGTTTTAATTATATAAATTTTATAAACACATGTATTTTTCCAAGAACAAATAAGAAATATCATTAATTCAATGAAACTAAAATATGAAAAATTACTTTTATGTGTTTATTCAGTTCATATTCAACTTAAAGCAACTCACCTGGATTATTGGTCATGATTCAGTTTGTTTATTCTTTTTAGAAAAAATATTTTATATAACAAATGTTTGCATGCGGTTTTATACTGATATTTATATAAATATTACCTGATTAATTATGAAGATTTTCTAATTTAAATTCAAGTGTTACAGAAGAAATGGACCTATACATGGTGCTCAGATGAGATCTGCACAAAACACTCCTAAATTATTATAACATGGGCACTGTAGGAAGACAGAAACACCAAGCAGTCACATACTTTTGCTGAAGACAGAAGTCAAACAGGATTTGTAGGGCTAAAGTATACAGTCTGTCAGTTCCTAGATTTTATAGCATAAATTGACAAATAAAAAGAACCCATTTAAAAACCATTTAAATAGCTACACCCTTATAGGTTTTTCCATTTATAAATTATATGTTCATATAGGAATTGTAGACAAAGATTTTGTTCATATTAATTAATTAGAAGTCATATATGAGGCTGGGTGCGATGGCTCACGCCTGTAATCCCAGTACTTTGGGAGGCTGAGGTGAGTGGATCATTTGGGGTCAGGAGTTTGAGACCAGCCTGGCCAACATGGTGAAACCCCATCTGTACTAGAAATACAAAAATTAGCCAGGCCTGGTGGTGGGCGCCTGTAGTCCCAGCTACTCAGGAGACTGAGGTAGGAGAATTGCTTGAACCTGGGAGGCAGAGGTTGCAGTGAGCCAAGGTCACACCGCTGCACTCCATCTTGGGAGACAGAGTGTGACTTAGTTTCAAGAAAAAAAAGAAGTCATCATATGAAACAAGTTCATAAACCACAGTTTAATGCACAGTTTAAATACTAAACAAGATGTTGGCCACACTTGTCTTTCCGCCCAAAGTGAACTTTGATTTGACACAATTTAGGAGTAGATGTTTTGTTTAATGCCTCTTTTATAACCACTGAAAAGGAAAATTTTGACATAATATTTCAGATTGTTTCAGGGGCTTATGACTGTATTTTTTCTCTTTATCAGATTGTTTCTCAAATGTATTCATAATTTTTTTTGGATTTTTTTAAAATTTTATTTTATTATTATTATACTTTAAGTTTTAGGGTACATGTGCACAATGTGCAGGTTAGTTACATATGTACACATGTGCCATGCTGGTGTGCTGCACCCATTAACTCATCATTTACATTAGGTATATCTCCTAATGCTATCCCTCCCCCTTCCCCCTACCCCACAACAGTCCCCAGAGTGTGATGTTCCCCTTTCTGTGTCCATGTATTCTCATTGGTCAATTCCCACCTATGAGTGAGAATATGCCCTGTTTGGTTTTTGTTCTTGCAGTAGTTTACTGAGAATGATGATTTCCAATTTCATCCATGTCCCTACAAAGGACATGAACTCATCATTTTTTATGGCTGCATAGTATTCCATGGTGTATGTGTGCCACATTTTCTTAATCCAGTCTATCATTGTTGGACATTTGGGTTGGTTCCAAGTCTTGGCTATTGTGAATAGTGTCACAATAAACATACATGTGCATGTGTCTTTATAGCAGCATGATTTATAGTCCTTTGGGTATATACCCAGTAATGGGATGGCTGGGTCAAATGGTATTTCTAGTTCTAGATCCGTGAGGAATCACCACACTGACTTCCACAATGGTTGAACTAGTTTACAGTCCCACCAACAGTGTAAGTGTTCCTATTTCTCCACATCCTCTCCAGCACCTGTTGTTTCCTGACTTTTTAATGATTGCCATTCTAACTGTTGTGAGATGGTATCTCATTGTGGTTTTGATTTGCATTTCTCTGATAGCCAGTGATGGTGAGCATTTTTTCATGTGTTTTTTGGCTGCATAAATGTCTTCTTTTAAGAAGTGTCTGTTCATGTCCTTCACCTACTTTTTGATGGGGTTGTTTGTTTTTTTCTTGTAAATTTGTTTGAGTTCATTGTAGATTCTGGATATTAGCCCTTTGTCAGATGAGTAGGTTGCGAAAATTTTCTCCCATTTTGTAGGTTGCCTGTTCACTCTGATGGTAGTTTCTTTTGCTGTGCAGAAGCTCTTTAGTTTAATTAGATCCCATTTGTCAATTTTGGCTTTTGTTGTCATTGTTTTTGGTGTTTTAGACATGAAGTCCTTGCCCATGCCTATGTCCTGAATGGTAATGCCTAGGATTTCTTCTAGGGTTTTTATGGTTTTAGGTCCAACGTTTAAGTCTTTAATCCATCTTGAATTAATTTTTGTATAAGGTGTAAGGAAGGGATCCAGTTTCAGCTTTCTACATATGGCTAGCCAGTTTTCCCAGATCCATTTATTAAATAGTATATTTGGTCAAATTTAGACACATGCAAACACATATACACACTGTATTTATACATATTCTCATTTTTCTTTTTATGTATGAATATCAATTCCTCAACATGATGTTAAGATATTTCCAACATTGATATGGTAAATATTGCTCAATGCATTCACAATTCAGTAAAAATGTATATAAATCTTAGAAGCATATTAAATCTTTTGTATTCAGTCTTAATTGAAGAAGTCACTACAGGAGATAACATTTTTATGTAAAATAAAAATTTGCACAAAATTGTACATAAGAATTAAATTTCAAAAGGAATTTGATAATGCTTATACTGTTGTGCTCATTTTTTCCTATTTTAGCATAAATTACCACAAATTTTCTAAGGTAAAAACACAGTCAAAGGGAGATATAGTAGTGAAATAATACTTACAGTTAATCAAATAGTTGCTAGTATATTAACAAATGTTGATGGATTGATTATATTGACATGTTTCCAAAAATAAGGCACTTATAAAGGTAGCATTCAATGTACAGATTAAACAAACTACAGAAAGCATTCAATTTAAACCTACGTGATCTACGTATTATTTTGATTGAATATACTGTGTAAAATGTAAAAAACATGCATACAAAGAAAAATGAACAAATAATCATGATATGCTAACAGTAATCACAGAGATATAGTAGCAGAGGACACAGTAAAAGATTAAAGTGATGCTGAGTTTTCACTGATGTATGTTCTGTCACAGAAAGTTTAGGCCACTAGTAACAGAGTATATAATAAAAGATTAAAGAGATACTGAGTTTTCACTGATGTATTTTCTGTCATAGGAAGTTTAGCCTATTGTTTTCCCAACACCTCAAGTGGGAAAATAAATGCCTTCTAGACAAATAGAAAGTTTCTGTAGGCTAAAGTAATTTAGTATCTGTTCTGGCAGATGACATATGCAATTTTTTATCCTCTCTGAGACCACCTGAAGAGCTGTCCTTGTGTGCCTAAGTGGTTATTAAAATACCTCTTTGTAATTGTTTACCTGAAGGCTATAGGAAAAGTGAGATGTCTTCTCAATTCTGGAGAAATTCAATTTAATAAAGTTGATTTTAAGCTCTATTACATCTCAACTCTATTTTCTCCATGGTTATTTCAGATGGAAGGAAGGGATGTCTCTGTTGGAAAACAGATCTGTGGTGTCAAAAGACAGTATTTGGATTCTTGTCTTCATAACAGTGAAAATAATTCATGGGTAATCAATAAAGCCATTCTGAAAACTAAAAATAAAAATACAAAGACTCCTTAGGAAGGAAAAATAAAATAAGAATGCACCTGGATTCTTGGTACTATTTCAACAAAAGTAATTTCTATCTCTTGAACATACTAGACATTTTCCTGACTCTTCTCTGCATGGAGCAGTTTTCAGTTAGAAATTCAAGGGAAATTTCCTTTACCTCCTTCAGACTTACTCTAATCACATGCTCTCAATAAGCCTGTCTTAGGCCACCCTCCATGCCGGCACTCCTAATCCTTCTCACCCTGTTCTATTTTTTCTTTTTTCTTTAACATTTATTTTCTTCCTACAAACTGGACATTTTACTTAAACGTTTTATTGCCAGACCCCTTCTTGTAGAATGAAAGTTGTGCAAGGGCAGGTGCTCAGGCAATATCTGTGGAGATGATGGGTGGATAAATAAATAATTAATAATCTGTAATATTTATTTGCTTTTAATATGTGCCATGTCCTTTCAGACACTATAGATATTTTCTCTGTGTTTATACAGAAATCTTCTAATGTGAAATATAGCTATTAAATAAATGCTTAAAAATGTGATCAATAAACATGAAATATTATGGGAAATTATAGAAGATAATGATATCAAATCCAGGGCTTCAGAGAAGTTCCACTAAGAAATTGAGCTAAAATTTTGTTCTGACAAATGAGTAAAAAATTTTCTAAGAAGTATGAGCAAAAAGCTTTTTGTTTGCAAACATTGTTGGAATCACCTTGTTTGTTGACCTAATAACAGTTTTCAGACTACACTTAATCTTTGTTATCAGAAATTTGGCCTCATTCTTTCTCATGTGACCCATATCCTCCAAAATAAAAATGGAATCACTTTATTGATTGGCATAGGTAGCCAAGACACCCTTACAAATGACTGATTATTAAAATATTTATATTTATATGACAAATACTTGTTTTATATACAAGCAAAGGGGAGATGCAATGAGGATTGTTACATCTCTTACTTTTATACACTAAATTTATCAACAACTACTGATTAAACCAGAGCTAGTAAAACACAGTGTAAACTCTGACTAAAAATATGTCTAACTTACCAGAAAAGGTTTGGCCCCTTTCCTCATGGTGATGAGGTATAAATATTCCATGGAGCAATAAATAGAGAGGAAGGGGTCCACAAGAAAGATATATTGGCTATTTGGATTCTCATCAGACAACTTGCCCCTCTGTACATCCTTTTCTTTTTCCTGGCAGAATGAGGTGAAGACTAGAAAAGGGAAAATTGTCTTTGTTGAAGAGGTAAGAATTATCAAACTTCTTGGGTTGCATGTGAATATAATTGGGAGAAGGTGAAACAGAGATGGTCTGTGAATTCTTATGGGTCAGTTCACAAAGTCGCTATCTCATCTCAGACAACACCCTCACTCACAGGATAATTTGTTCTTGGCAAATACCATAACAGCCTCTTTAAGAATATCTACAGGATGGATCTGCTTGTACAGTTGTAAAGCTAAGGCACTGGTAGGAATTGTTTGCTGTGTGCTATGAAAAAAAATCTCATGTAGATGTTAATATTTGATAACATTAAAAGATGAGAGAACAAGCTGTACAATCCTGGTATTTCTGAGATTTTGGTCAGCTGTAAGCCAAAAGCGTACATACTCATTTTTCTTATTTGTCTAGCACTTTTATGGCAAGACAAAATAAGTGAGCAGGTTGAGTCTGTGCAAGTTTCCAAAGAATGCACAGAGGAAGGGTGAGACCAGTAACTGGGTGTGTGGAGTATCCTTCCAGGACACTTACTGAATATTCTTTTGACTATTACAGGGAGGAGATTTTTTATTAATCACCAAGTATTTGATCACTTATTCTCAAGATTTATGTATAACAAAGGATACAATTAAATATGAGTGCTACAATTAATGCTATTAGTCTCATAATATTTCAATATATATTGTTCTTTTAGATTTAGGTTTTTACCTCTTTGTACAATGAATAGTTGGAGAGATTCTTTTTATACATATATATTTTTGGAGACGGTGTCTCACTCTTGTTGCCCAGGCTGGAGTGCAGTGGCGCAATCTCTGCTTACTGCAACCTCCACTTCCCAGGTTCAAGTGATTCTCCTGCCTCAGCCTTCTGAGTAGCTGGAATTACAAGTACGTGCCACCATGCCCAGCTAATTTTTTGTATTTTTAGTAGAGATGGGGTTTTGCCATGTTGGCCAGGCTGGTCTCGAACTGCTGACCTCAGGTGATCCACCCGCCTTGGCCTCCCAAAGTGCTGGGATTACAGGCGTGAGCCACTAGTTGTAGAGATTCTTATATGCATGAAACATATTTATTACCAGGTAGAAATTTTTGTATTCTCCATAAAAACCCTCTATGTTTTATTTCCTTAAGAATAATGCATATTTGTCATTATGCTCAAGCCAGGTGTTACTGTTACTTAGCTAGTCTATTTTTTTAACTGGTTTACGTCTGACTATAGTCTTTGTCATTCCCACCAGCTGTACACTCAAACAGCTGTGCCTCCCCCTCTTTCACTCAGAGCAATTTCCAGGGACTTGTATTTAAAGGAGAGTGAAATATTGTCTCTAATTATAACAGCAATCTGTTCCGCAGCAGTTTTCACACTCTACTTACATTCCCTACTGTGTTTTTCCAATAGTTTTACCCTTTCTTCCATTTCTCTAATTTTTGCTCTAAACCCATCAAACTGCTGATTAGTTGAATTATTTTTCAAGTTCATTAATTCTAGCACACTTTTGTGAAACCTTTATGGTTGTTTTCATTGATATTTAACATCAAATTGGAGTTATTTCTCAACTTGTAATCCATGCAAATATATTCATTCATAAATAAAAAAATTCCCACTCTATCCCTCCCATTGTAGTTACTATGGATAAAGTAAAAATGAGTGCTGTGATTTTTATTAGGTATAATAATTTAATTCCCTCAATTAGAGTTGCATTACCAACTTAGTTATAATTCTTATCCAGCCTATATTTGTTAAAAGAAATAAGTCCCTATGTTAGACCCTAATGTAAATATAGTTATAGTCTTCTTTAAATTAGTAAGCAAGAACTTTTCTAGCTTGTGCATGTGTCTGTGTGTGTATGTATGTATATGCACCTATATATCAGAAGATTTTACACCAACCTCTAACCTCAACAACATGTCTTTGGGTACAAATAAACAGACGGTTTTAAGGATGGATTTTTCTTGTCATAGCGCTTGTCTCCTGACAGTTACTCAGTGATGCAAAGCTAAAAAGAGCACTGTGCTCATGGTGGAAAATAATTCCCAGGACTTGACAGGGAAGAATGTACTCATTCCACGCCCCGGGCAGAAGTCTGCTGAGACAAACAGAAGAAAGATAGTTAGTGAGCAAATTCATCAAGACCAATATCATGTATTTCTCCCCCTGGCCTGATGGCTGATTTGCACTCCTCCTGTAAGCAACAAAACTGCAAAACCAGTGCTACAAAACAGAAGCACCTGTAAGTCCGTGGGAGCACATCTTTGCTCAACAAGAGATCCTGACAACTAACAACTAACAACCATCTGCCTGAGACACAGTTCGAGTTTTTAAGATGCATCAGTTCCCCTTTCCAGCCTGAAGCCTCATCATCAAACAATGCTTCCAATGCTTGGCATGTTTAATTATAGAATTATAAACTATTAGAGCTTGCTTCCTTGGCAATTATGTGAGGCAACCCTCAAACTTTCCAGAGGATAATGAGCGTAGGCTAATTTGATGGTATTTCAAGGTCATGCATCTATTTGAAAAAGAGATCAGAATAAAATCCAGATTTCAAATTCCTGGTCTAGTGTTCTTTTTATGCTGCCTCCCTTAAATAGTTATTTCTTAAACTAAAAATAATCAAGTCAGAAGAAACCTCTGAATTAACATGCCGTTTTGAAGACTATGATTTTCAAGATAAGCCTTCTTACTCTTATCCCCAAGCAATCAGCCCTTGTTTTAACTTTACAACAGATAGTCCATGGTTTTTTTTTTTTTTTTTTTTTGCCAGATCCCCCTGGTGAATGAGTGGAGAAATTGTTGAGTTGGCAGCCCAAGTTTACGAAAACAATCTGTAGCACTGGAACAGTGAAGCTAACTGGCACATATGGGCAGTGAAAACATGGCCATGGCCTCATTAGCACCATGTGTTAAAAAATGGAGCTAAGCAGTCAAGTGTGAAGGTGAAGCAGGCATGGAGAAGGTCTGTGCACCCTAAAATGGACATGATTGGTTTCACTGTGGAGTTTTTCCTGGTTGTAATTAAAGCCTGATCCTTTCCAGCTGTAGTGGCACAGATTGTTTTAAGATAAATTCAATCTATAATTAAAAATCTCATTAATCATTTCCCAAATTATTTGTTGTAATATAAAATGGAGATGGAAATCATTCCTGCTGTGAAAAATGGTAACAATATTAATAATTGTGGCTGTAACAGATGTTAATGGCAAAAGGACCTCTCTGTTACTGCTCATAGTTTTCCATTTTCACACCTCCATCACTAAGCAAGCAACTGAATATCCAAGTAATCTTTAATCCAATGTGTTTTCTATTTTAAAATACATTCAGCATTTTTAAGCATATTCATTGTGATATAAGAATTTTAGTTTTGATTTCAGATTAAGTTTACTAAATAGACTCAAAGTACCTAAGTGTAACTGGGCTAAAAATGAGATTATTTAACTATTATGGTCACTGAAAATCCATCTAGATAATTACTCTTAATATTTCTAGCTATCAGACTTGGAGCTTTTCTCTTTCCTAGAACTCAATCTTCATACCAACTTTATGAGTTTATAGAAATAAAGGAACTTGCCCAAACTAATGGGAATAATCAACAGAACTCTAAATAGGTGACCATTTTAGTTGTGGTTCTATGGTAAAGAACTTCACAATATTGTGTGTGACTAAATGTTGGTTTCCCTGGGAGATATCCAGGTTATATTTATTGTCCCCAAGACCTTTATGGTGCATTTAGCAGTTGTTCCTGATTTTTTGTTGTTTAAAATCATTATCAATAGTTGCATTAATTTAGGATGGGTTTGGCATATCTCTAATTTTTATTTTCATCTTCTGGTATTCTCTCTATTGTATTGTGTGAGACACTCATGGGTAGAGAATTGAATTCTAATACATTTCAGTCTGAAAGACAACCAAAAACCCAGTTCTAATTTCTGGACCTTTTCCAGAAGCAAAAGACCCAACATATTTAAGGACAGCATGCTAACTAATAAAATGAGGTGCACTCTTCTATGTGGCTATCCGTGCTGACCACTTGAAAATAACTAGTGTGCCATGACCCTTGCTGAAGCTTAGAAGATACCAAAAGCTACCAGGGTTAATGAGAAATTCTGTCAATTTTTATTGGCTATATTTTAAATATATGTATTATACAAAGACAGAGTAATCCTGCAGTAGAACACTTAGTAGTCCAGATGTTTTGTTATAATGATTTTTTTTGTCATTTGTGGTTCAAAACTACAATTCTATATTTGTTATATGGTCATGCTTTTGTCTTTGTTGTTCTGTATTATTTAAAAAAAAAGCAGCAATAAGCCCAAACAAGTACATGTGCAATGGAAAAATAAGTTCTGAGTTTCTATTATTTAGGATAGTTGATATCGAAAATGTAATCTCACAAAATGTTCATGCACATTTACCACCCACATTGGTGACACAATGAAGCACAAGGGAACTCTGCGACTTGAATTTGTTGAACAATCAGTATAAAGCTAGTTGACATGTGAAAAAATGTGCACCCAAATATAATAATTTAGCAAGAGTAACTGCTGAAAGTGTGTTTACACACCTCCCTATGAAAACCAAATTTGCATTCAAAGATTTCTTTCCAAAAATTTTTTCACTATATTCATCTGCAAGTTTTCTTATGCACTATGAAAAATGAAATAACCATCAATATGTGGCTATGCTAATGGAACTTCATAGATAATAAAGTGATCCCAGTATATATCAATGCCATCAGATAACTTCAAATACAAAGTCTGTTGATTCCTGATACAGGTTAATTTTTAAAATCCAATTTGTGAAATCAAAGTGAAGTCATTAAAAATTCATTCTGTCAAAGGTTAAACATCAGACATTACTCTGAATGCTACTGTAAGGTTATTATTAGCTGACATATTTTACCAATTGAAATAGAACTTGTAGTTATCTGAGTTTACTCATACATATACATACAGACAGAATGTAATTAAAATACAAAATTTTAGTTATGTAGCTCTTGTACAAAACAAAACAAAATTCTGCATATTATGTTCTTTTGCACTCTGATGCCTCTTATCAGTTATATTTTAGAAATGTCTGCCCTTGGAAAAACTATTTTATAAATCAACCTAAAGAACCATGTGTGGTATTTAACATTACGTAAGGCAACACCTATATTTCAGTTGAAATTTATTCAAAGTTGAAAATTTTATTCAAAATATTCACTGAATAGGAAGCTAAAATTTAATCCTTAGTAGCTTTTAGTATGTGTAGTTATTTAAAACAAGACTTAGAGCTTCCTGTTTTCCCAGGAAGCACCCAGATGGCAGCGTGGGTCTCCCCACCCATCCCACCACTGGTAGCCAGGCAAGCCACACCTGCTGGAGTTTCTAACCCAGTGGTACTACTTCTGCCTACATTTGCCAAGGGGTGAAACCTCCTGTTTCCCTAAAAATACCCAGATGGTGTGGGGGCAACTCCAGCCATCCCACCTCTTGTACCCAAATGGGCCATACCTGCCATGGCTTCTACGTCAGTAGTCCTGCTTCAACCTGAACTGTGCAGGCAGGCACAGAGCTGGTTTCCCTATGAAACACACAGACAGCAGATTGGGGCTGATCTGGCAAGGATGCCATTTATATGCCAACTGCAGCCACTACCTGAGGGAGCCTCATTGTCTGGAATACCCTACAATAGAAACACAAGCATGGAGACAGTAATCAGAGGGGATTTCTCTAAGACCCAGGAGCAGACTAGAATAGAAGTCAGTGAACCACACCCACCTTATACCATAATCAAATTCCCAAGGGCATGAAGAAAGAAAAAAGAATAATATTTCCAAAGGACAGCAACTTCAAAGATTGAAGGAACAGCAGCCCACACAAATGAGAAAGAACCAGTGAAAGAACTCTGACAACTCAAAAAGCCAGAGTATCTCCTTACCTCCAAATAATTGCATGATTTCACCAGAAATGTTTCTTACCCAGGCTGAAATGGCTGATATGACAGAAATAGAATGCAGAATGTAGATAGGAATGAAGATCATTGAGATGCAAGAGATAATCAGACCCTCTCCATGTTATGTTAGGATTAAAATTTAAAAATACAGAAGCTGATAGACAAAATGGCCATTATAAGAAAGAAGCAAAATGACCAGGCAGAGCTGAAAAACAAACTAGAAGAGTATCATAATCCAATTGCAAGTATTGACAGTAGAATTGACCAAGCTGAGGAAAGAATTTCAGAACTTGAAGAGTAGCTGTGTGAAATAACTTTGTCAGGAAAAAAAATTTTTAAATCAATAAAGAAGAATGAACAAAACCCCTGAGAAATATGTACTCATGGAAATCTATAACTCATTGGTGTCCCTGAAAGAGAAGGAGAAAAACCAAGCACCTTGGAAAATATATTTCAAGATATTAGCCATGAAAATGTCCCCGACTTGGGTAGAGGGGCCAACATTCAAATTCAGGAAATGCTGAGAAACCTTGTCAGATACTACACAAGAAGACTACCCTCAAGACACATAATAATCAAATTCTTAATGTTGAAATGAAAGAAAAAAAATGTTAAAGGCAACTAGAGAGAAGAGGCAGGTCACTTACAAACAAAACCCCATCAGGCTAACAGCAGACCAATGGCAGAAACTGCAATCCGGAAGAGACTGGGGTCCTATATTCAGAATTCCTAAGGGAAAGAATTTTCAACCAAGAATTTCATATCCAGCCAAACTAAGCTTCATAAGCAAAGGAGAAATCAGATTCTTCTCAGACAAACAAATGCTAAGGAGGATTGTTAACACCAGACCTGCCTTACAAGCAGTCCTAAAAGGAGTGCTAAATATGGAAAGTAAAGGCCATTACTGGCCACTACAAAAACACAATAACATAGGACAATGACAGTATAAAGCAGCCACACAAACAAGTCTGCATAATAACCAGTTAACAAAGTGATGACAGGATCAAATCCAGACATATCAATAGTAATTTTGAATATAAATGGGCTAAACTCCCCAAATAAAGGTCACAGAGTGGCAAGTTGAATAAAGAAGCAAAACCCAATGGTATGTATGCTGTATTCAAGAGACCCATCTCACATGCAATGACACCCAAAGGCTCAAAGTAAAGGGAAGGAGAAAAATCTGCCAAGTAAATGGAAATTATAAAAAGGCAGGGGTGGCTATTCTAATTTCAGACAAAACAGACTTTAAATAAAACAAAACCAAAAGATCAAAAAAGACAAAGTGGAGCATCACATAATGTCACATAATAGCAAAGAGTTATTTTAAACAAGAGGACCTAATTGTCCTAACTACATGTGCACCCAACACGAGCACCCAGATTTATAAAGCAAGCTCTTAGATACCGACAAGGGGACTTATATAACCACCCAATGATAGTGGGAGACTTTAACACCACACTGAGAGAAATAGACTGATCATCGAGGCAGAAAACTAAACAAAGATACTCAGGAACTGAACTGAATAGTTGAACAAATGGACCTAATAAACATCTATAGAACTTTCTACCCTAAAACAACAGAATATACAGTCTTCTTATCTGCATATGGCACATACTATAAAATCAACCACACAATCAGGCATAAAACAATCTTCAGCAAATTAAAAAAAAAATAACAGAAATCAGACCAACCTTGCTCAGACCACAGTGCAATAAAAAATCAATACTAAGAAAATTACTCAAAGCCATACGATTACATGGAAATTAAACAATCTCTTCCTGAATGAGCTCTGGGCAAATAATGAAACTAAGACAGAGATCAAGAAATTCTTTGAACCTAATGAGAACAAAGATACAATGTAACAGAATCTCTAGGACACATTCAGATCCGTGTAAAGAGGAAAGTTTATAGCACTAAATACCCATATCAAAAAGTTAGAAAGCTCTCAAATTAACAAGCTGACATCACAATTCTAAGAACTAGAGAAACAAGAGCAAACCAAGTCCAAGGCTAGCAGAAGTTAAGAAATAACCAAAATCAGAGGTAAACCAAAGAAAATTGAGACATGAAACAAACCTACAAAAGATCAATTAATCCAGGAGCTGGTTATTTGAAAGAATGAATAAGATAGATAAAGTATTTGGTAGACTAATAAAAAAAATAGAGAATATCTAAATAAACACAATCAGAAATGAGAAAGCAGACGTTACCACTGACCCTGTAGAAATACATAAATCTTCACAGACTACTAGGAAAATCTCTATGCATACAAGCTATAGAAAACCTAGAAAAAAATGGGTAGATTCCTGGAAACAAACACAACCTCCCAAGATTGAACCAGGAAGAAATTGAATCCCTGAACAAATCAATAATTAGTCCCAAAATCTAATCAGTAATAAAAAGGCTACAAACCAGAAAAAGCCTAGAACCAGACATATTTACAAATTCTACCAGATGCATAAAGAAGAGCTGGTACCATTCTTACTGAAACTATTTCCAAAACTTGAGTAGGATGGACTCCTTTTTAGGTCATTCCATGAGATCAGCATCATCCTAATACCAAAACCTGGCAGAGACACAACAAACAAAAAGAAAACTTCAGATGCAAGGTTGGTTCACCAAACATAAATCAATAAATGTGATTCACCACATAAACAGAATGAAAAACAAAAACCACAGGATCATCTCAATAGATGCAGAAGAGACTGTCATAAAATTCAACTTCCCTTCATGTTAAAACCCTCAACAAAATAGGCATGGAAGAAACATATCTCAAAATATTAAGAGCCATCTATGAAAATCCCATAGCCAACATAATGCTGAATGGGCAAAAGCTGGAAGCTTTCCCCTATAAAACTGGAACAAGACAAGGATACCCTCTCTTACCTCTCCTGTTCATCACAGTACTGAAAGTCCTAGTGAGAGCAATCAGGCAAGGGAAAAAATAAAAGATATACAAATAGAGAGGAAGTCAAACTATCCCTGTTTGCAGATGATATGATTATATAACTAGAAAACTCCACGGTCTCTTCACAGAAACTCTTTGAGCTGATAAACAACTTCAGCAAAGTTTTATAACACAAAATCAAAGTAAAAAATTAGTAGCACTCCTATACACCAACAGCATCCAAGCTGAGAGCCAAATCAAGAATGCAATTTCATTCACAATAGCCACAAAAAGAATAAAATAACCAGGAATATAGCTAACTAAGGAGGTGAAAGACCTTTACAATAAGAATTACAAAACACTGCTCAAAAAAATCAGAGATGACACCAACAAATGGAAAAATGTTCCATGTTCATGGATAAGATGAATCAATATTGCGAAAATGGCCAAACTGCCCAAAATAATTACTGATTTAATGCTATTCCTACCAAAGTACCAATGACGTTCTTCACAGAATTAGGAAAAACTATTTTAAAATTTATATGGAACCAAAAAAGTGACTGAATTGCCAAGGCAATACAAAGCAAAAAGAATAAAGCTGGAGGCATCACATTATCTTACTTCAAACTGTGCTATGAGGCTGCAGTAACTCAAATAGCATGGTAATGGTGCAAAAACAGTCACACAGACCAATGGAACAGAATAGAAAGCCCAGAAATAATGCTGTACACCTATAACCATCTTATCTTCAGAGAAAATGACAAATTTCCCATAAGCAATAAGAAAAGAACTCCCTATTCAATATATGGTGCTGGGAAAACTGGCTAGCCATATGCTGAAGATTGAGCCTAAACCCCTTTCTTACACCATATAAAAAATTAACTCAAGATGTGTTAAAGACTTAAATGTAAAGCCTAAAACTATAAAAACTCTGTAAGATAACCTAGGAAATACCATTCTGTACATGGGACCTGGCAAAGATTTCATGATAAAGATGCCAAAAGCAATTGCAACAAAAACAAAATTGACAAATGGGACCTAATTAAACTAAGGAGCTTCTACACAACAAAAGAAACTATCAACAGAGTAAACAGATAACCCACAGAATGGGAGAAATATTTGCAAACAATGCATCCAACAAATATTAAATATCCAAAATCTATTAGGAACTTAAACAAATTTGCAAGCACAAAAGAAACAACCCCATTAACCCCTTTCCCATTTTACCCAAGAATACTTGTCAGTGGTGCTTGTGGCTGCAACATTTACCCTAAATAAGTTTGCCACAAAATATCTCACCTTTATTATTATTCTTGTGTCACTCTAGTGTATCCGCTTTGGAAACAAAAGACATTATTGTATTTATAGCATTCTGGTTTTAGTAGTTGTATTTCCATTTACAAAATATAGTATTCTTGATCACTGAAAATGTCCAATCTGAGAAAATGTAGCATTCCTGCGTGTGATGTTAACATTGTTTTTGAACAATTTTTGGCCTAAGATTCATTTGATAAATTAATTTTTCCAAAATCGATGATTCTGCTGATTCAGACAATTCTGTTGTTACTTCTGTTTAGAAATAGTTCCAAGAACTTTTATGTTTTCTTTTCACATTGAAAATCAGTCAGACTTGCTTGAGCCTCAAAGAACATGTTTATGTAAAATTAGATGAGTGCTGGCAGCGAGCTGTATTTTTTCTTCCTAAACAGCAAAAAAGTTAAAAAAGTGGGCAAATGACAAAAACAGACACTATTTAAAAGAAGACATATACGCAGTCAAAAAGCATGTGAAAAAAATGCTTAACATCTGTAATTATTAGAGAAATGCAAATCAAAATCACAATGAGATACCATGTCACACAGGTCAGAATGGCTATTATCAAAAAGTCAAAAAATAACAGATGCTGGCAAGTTTGTGGAGAAAAGGGAACACTTACACACTGCTGGTGAGGAAGTAAATTAGTTCAGCTATTGTGGAAAGCAGCTGGTGATCTCTCAAGGAACTCAAAACAGAGTTACCATTTGACCCAGCAATCCCACTGTTGGGTATATAACCAAAGGAATATAAATCATTCTACCCTAAACACACATGCACATGTATATTCATGGCAACACTGTTCACAATAGCAAAGACATGGAATCAAGTTAAATGCCCGTCAATGGTAGACTGGATAAAAAAAAAATGTGGTAAATGTATACAGCGGAATGCTATACAGCCATTTTTAAAAAGGTGAGATAATGGCCTTTGCACCAATATGGATGGAGTTGGAGGCCATTATCCTAAGCAGACTAACACAAGAACAGAAAACCAAATTTCAGACATTCTCACTTTAAGTGGGAACTAAACATTGAGCTTGGACTCAAAGAAAAATCCTATAACCACTGGGGCCTATTTGAAGTTGGATGGTAGGAGGATGGTGAAGATAGAAAAACTAACTTTTGGGTACTATGCTTATTAACCAAGTGCTAAAATAAACTGTACACCAAATCTCTGTGACATGCAAATTGCCTGTGTAACAAACCTGCATGTACCCCTGAACCTAAAATAAATGTTAAAAAAATTTAAAAATAATAAAATAAGTTTAAAATGTAAAAACTAATTTTTTTGTTTTTCTCATATGAATATTTATCAAAGAAAGATACTCTGGAATCCACAGGTAAAAAGACAGTAGCTCTGAATATATTTGGGCTGTAATATTTTCACATTTAAATAATAAACAAGCAGGATTGATACTATACTTTCTCTACTAGTGCATTTTTCTGAACATTCCCCAATTAAAAATCTGCTGTAAGATTGAGTCAATTGAAAGCATCAAACATTTTAATTAAGCACACAATTAGACTGTGATGAAGATTATGAACATATTTATGATAAAATATAAAAACTGAATATTGAATATTGAAAACAATTTTTCTTTATAAATGCACAAATGACTTGGTATTAGTGATACATACAGTGAGAAATTGATTAAAATATATAAAGTCACAAAAATAATTTAATGCTTATATTTTAATGTTTAAATAAAAACAGTATTTTTAAAATTTTTCTGTAATATATTTTAAGGTGTATTTTTGAAAATAATTTTTAAAAACATATTTTGAAAATTTTTATTTTAGAAAAAAATTTATTTTGAGAACTTTTAATGTCTCAACTTATTAAATGTTATTCAATAAAATATTTCAGAAATTATATAATTTAAATTATTTTCAGCAAAATCTTTTACTATCAAAAGTGTCCTGGTCTAGACAATAAATTGTATGTCAACTTATTGCTAACACATAAAAGTCTCTTTCATTTTAATTTAGCAAATGCTATAACAACACATAAAAATGCCATTTTTTAATTGGAAAAGATTCAGAAAAAAGAGAATTCAGAGAGAATGTGGTCTCCAAAAGATCTCAAATAATCTTCTTAAAGATACACATGCTGGTAATTTTTGATAAAAGAAAACAGTAATTATAAGAAAGTATTATTTATCTAACACTATGGCAATTGTTACAAGTATCAATTTGCAGATAGTGGGGTTGTGAAGCAAGATATTCCCCTAACCCCTTTGCAGGACTTGCGACTTGTTTACTCAGCCTGCAGCACTCAACTCCTCATAGGAGGAAGTACATGAGTGAACAAGGGAGGAACTGGAGTACACAAGGCACTGGAAACCAGCTGGCTATTTCAGTGCCAGCAGGAGTGAACTCCACTCACTCAGACCTGCTGTGCTCCATCCCTTGTGGGAGGGAGCACAAAGGTGAGTGGGTCCAGGAGCTGAGGTGATTGCTTTTGGGCACTGGAAGGAGCAAACTCCGTGCAGGCCCTGCAGCAGCGTTTGGGGGTGTCCGCAATCCCTGAAGCCCCAGAGAGCATGTTACAGTGGTCTTTTAGCTCTGCCATCTGTAGATGGCTGAAGTGTTAACAGATAAGTGGGCCCTCTGCCTTTTTGATGAGGCACCTGCCTTCCACCAACAAGGGCAAAGAGCTAGTGTGGCAGCCTTTTGCATCCACACTCATAGCTCCTGACCTCTTGGCCAGCATCCAGGAAAAATGAAGTCATGCAGAAAATTGAAGGATGATAAATGTGGGGAATTTGATTGCCAATGAAAGTGGGTCTAAGCAGGAAGGGCAGCTGAAAAGGGAACTGGGTGGGAAGGTAATCTTCCCCTGAAGTCCAGTGGTCTCTGGCCAGATACTTCTCTGAAGTTATGCAGTCAAGCTGTCCCTCTGAAGTCAAGCTGCATCTCTCTGATATCCAGCCATAGTCCCTCATGTCCAGCTGCTTCTCCTCTCTGTCAGCTGAGTCTGGGGTCTTTATAGGCATAGGATGGGATGGGGTGGGGCCAAGGATGTTCTAGGAAAAGGCAACATTTGAGCAGAAAAACAGAGATATAAATTCTCACTTTGGGCTGCTGTCTCAGGCTTTTCAGCTTGAGGGTGGGGTTTCACCAGGGACCTGCCCTTTTCTGCCTAGAATTTCTCTGCTTCTTGTCCCCATCTGTTGAACTAATCAGGATAATCTAACTTCTCTTACAAATATTAGGCAAATATTCATGGCTTAACACAATAAAGTTTGTATGTCTCTTGTGTCATGTTACAATACAGGTAACCAGTGGCCTGTGTTTCATGCTGTCAGGGAGACAAGCCAACTCCATCTTCTACATCTGCAATATTTAGGGTCTCAGAATCCTCCACTTAATTGCAGGCATTTAGATAAGAAAAAGATCTCGAAGGAGCTTGGGGAGATTTTATAGGGGTCAAGCCAGGAAAAAGTCCATAATTTCCATTGAAAACACTGACCAGAATTGAAGGCATGGCTCTGCCTAACTACAAAGGGACTTGGAAATGTAGAGTAGAAGTTGTCTGTATAATCTGTTCTCATGCTGCTAATAAAGACATACCTGAGACTGGGTAGTTTATAAAGAAACAAGGCTTAATTGACTCAAAGTTCAACATGGCTGAGGAGGCCTCACAATCATGGTGGAAGGTGAATGAAGAAGAAAGTCACATCTTACATGGTGACAGGCAAGAGGGAGAGTTTGTGCAGGAGAACTCCAATTTATAAAACCATCAGATCTTTTGAGACTTATTCACTACCATGAGAACAGTATGGGAAAAACCACCCCCATGACTGAATTATCTATACCTGTTCCCACCCTTGACGTGTGTGTATTACTCATTTCAAGTTGAGATTTGGGTGGGGATACAGTCAAACTATATCATTTCAACCCGACCTCCCCTGCAAATCTCATGCCCTCATATTTCAAAACAGTCATGCCTTCCCAACAGTTCCCCCAAGTCTTAAATCATTTCAGCATTAACTGAAAAGTTCACAGTCCAAAGTCTCATCTGAGACAAGGCAAGTCCCTTCCACCTATGAGCCTGTAAAATCAAAAGCAAGTTAATTACTTCCTAGATACAATGGGATTACAGGCATTTGGTAAATACATTCATTTCAAATGGGAGAAATTGGACAAAACAAAGGGGCTACAGGCCACATGTAAGTCTGAAATCCAGTGAGGCAGTCAAATTTTAAGGCTCCAAAAGGATCTCCTTTGACTCCACGTCTCACATCTGGGTCATGCTGATGCAAGAGGTGGGTTCCCATAGTCTTAGGCAGCTCTGCCTTGTGACTTTGCCGGGTACAGCCTCCTGCCCCAGCTGCTTCCATGACTGGCATTGTCTGCAGCTCTTCCAGGTGCATGGTGGAAGCTATTGGTGGATTGGATCTATCATTTTGCGGTCTGGAGGATGATAGCCCTTTTTTCACAGCTCCACTAGGCAGTGCCCTAGTGGGGACTCATGTGGAGGCTTCAACCCCACATTTCCCTTCTGCACTGCCCTAGCAGAGCTTCTCCATGAGGGCTCCACCCCTGCAGCAGACTTCTGCCTGGATATCCAGGCCTTTCCATACATCTTCTGACATTTAGGCAGAGGTTCCCAAACCTCAATTCTTGACTTCTGTGCACCTTCAGGCTCAACACCACATGGAAGCTGCCAAAGCCTGGGGCTTGCACCCTCTGAAACAACAGCTCAAGCTGTACATTGGCCCCATTTAGCCACAGCTGGAGCAGCTGGGATGCAGGGCATCACGTCCTGAGGCTGCACACAGCAGGGGGGCCCTGGATCCAGCCCAGAAAACCATTTTTCCCTCCTAGGCCTTTGGGCTTGTGCTGGGAGGGGCTGCCAAAAAGTCTCTGTCATTCCCTGGAGACATTTTCTCCATTGTCTCAGTAATTAGCATTTGGCTCCTCATTACTTAAACAAATTTCTGCAGTTGGCTTGAATTTATCCCCAGAAAATGAGTTTTTCTTTTCTACTGAATCATTAGCCTGAAAATTTTTCAAACTTTTATTCTCTGCTTCCTCTTGAACTCTGCCACTTAGAAATTTCTTCCACCAGATAGGCCTAATCATCTCTCTCAAGTTCAAAGTTCTATAGATTTCTATGTCAGGGGCAAAATTCCACCAGTCTCTGTATAGCAAGAGTGACCTTAACTCCAGTTCCCAACCAGTTTCTCATCTTCACCTGAGACTACCTTAGCCTGGACTTTATTGTCCATATCACTATCAGCATGTTGGTCAAAGCCACTCAACAAGTTTCTAGGAAGTTCCAAACCTTCCCACATCTTCTTTTCCGCTGAGCCCTCCAAGTCTCTAGGAAGTTCCAAAATTTCCCAAATTTTCCTATCTTCTTCTGAGCCCTCCAAACTCTTCCAAACTCTGCCTGTTACACAATTCCAAAGTCACTTCCACATTTTTGGGAATTTTTAGAGCAACACCTCACTCTACTGCATTGACTGTCTGTTCTCACGCTGCTGATAAAGACATACCCAAGACTGGGTAGTTTATAAAGGAAAGATAGTTAATTGAGTCAAAGTTCCACATGGCTCAGGAAGCCTCACAATCATGGCAGAAGGTGAATGAGGAGCAAAGTCATGTCTTACATGGCAACAAGCAAGAGAGAGAGTTTGTGGAGGGGAACAAGCTTAAATATAAAACTCTCAGATCTCATGAGACTTATTTGCTACCACAAGAACAGTGTGGGGGAACCACCACCATGATTCAGTTATTTCCAGTTGGCCCCATCCTCGACACATGAGAATGATTACAATTCAAATTGAGATTTGGGTGGGGACACAGCCAAACAATATCATTGTCAAAGCAGACAACTCACAAGTATTTGTAAACAATTAGATTTCTGCCCCAATCACCCACAGAGAGTATTTATTCATTGAATAGTAAGTCATATGTCCATTTACAGCTTATTTAAAACAGTGTTCATTACAAGAATACAATATCAAATGCCTCCATGGAGAAGCTAACAAAGAAAATCTGTAGAGCAGCCAAGTATAGGAAGTGATGGAGACTGAGACAACAAACAAGCACATGTCCCAGCAAAACAACAGCCGATTTTACCAGCTCACCTGGAGACAAACCTAGAGTAACTGGCCCACAGATATTTAAAGAGATGTTAGTAGTGAAGACTTTTATGAGAGAATCTCTGATGTTAAACTTTCTTTTCAAATTCAAAATTTCTTTTAAAAAGGTTTTGCAGACAAATTCAACACTCATGGATCTTTTGTGTATGTAGGTTGGGATGGGGCAGTGGGAAAAGAGTGAAAGCATCTAATTGCCCACATTTAAAACATAAAAGAAATAAAGAAGGAAAGGGGACTATTGAGGCAATAGAGTTGATAGTCATAGACATAAAATTTGTGCTTATCTAGAAATATGCTTTGAAATTAAAAGATACTTTGGCTCTAAGAATGGCTGCAGAGGGTGAAACAGACTAAGTAACAGACTGACAACCAGCAAGAGAGACTGAAATAGTTATAGTGCCCCCAAATTAAGGCAAGGGCCAGTAGTATCTAGATATAGGAGCTAATCAACTGATCAGATCGGCCAGTGGCCTAATGAAGAATAGGTAACTTCTATTTGTTCAATTTTTTTCTCCCGAATATTTTCTCATTTCCAGCATAATTCCCACTATCTATCTACAGTTAAAATTACCTTTCAGCAAAAGTGTTTCATGCCAAAAAGCTGCTGTTTTCTTTTCAAAAAGAGGTGGTTCTTAGAAATGCCTCTACACTCTATGCTGTACCACAGTTAATTGTCTTCTTAATAATCCAATTTCCAAGTCCTGCCTGAATTAATTAAATTAGACTTTCAATAAGCTGGACTGGCACCTTACTTTAGTACCTAGAGATAGCTTAGATATCACTTACATAAGTAACAATATAGATTGAGACTTCACTGCTGTGCATTTGAGGGCTAGCATACATTGAGAAATATAAAGTCATGAGCCATGTAATAGCATTTCCATTAACAATGAACCACAGGCTGGGCACGATGGCTCACTCCTGTAATCCTAGCACTTTAGGAGGCCAAGATGGGTGGAGCACAAGGTCAGGAGATAAAGAACATGCTGGCCAACATGGAGAAACCCCATCTCTACTAAAAATACAAAAATTAGCCTGGTGTGGTAGCATGCTCCTATAATCCCAGCTACTCAGGAGGCTGAGGCAGGAGAATCGATTGAACCTGGGAGTTGGAGGTTGCAGTGAGCCAAGATCATGCCACTGAACTCCAGCCTGGTGACACAGCAAGACTCCATCTCAAAAAACAACAACAACAACAAAAACAAAACAAAACAAAAAACAATGAACCACATCTAAGGTGGTGGTCCCAGAAGATTACAATACTGATTTTATTGTACCTTTTGTATGTGTATATATGTTTACATATACAAATACCATTGTGTTACAATTGCCTACAGTATTCAGTACAGTATGCAGTACAGTAACATGTAGCCTAAGAGTAATACGCTATATTATATAGTCTAGGTGTGTAGTAGGCTCTACTATCTGAAGTTTGTGTAAGTATACCCTATGACATTTGCACAATGACAAAATCCCCTAAAGACATATTTCCCAGAATATTTTCCCATTGTTAAGCTATGCATTACTGTAATAAATGACTTATGAAATAAATCTTAATATTTTTAAAAAGTAACATGATTTTTCTGGTAAAATAATTTAATTGCACACTTTGAAAGACATGATGAATTTATTGAATTCATTTCTTGTGTCATAGTCTGTTCATCATTATCTTACAGTACAGCTAATTAAGAGCAAGTAGTTTTTTTACTATTCACATAATGTTCATTCTATAATGATTTTATTTCATAATACTTAGCTTCATTGAATATCAAAGTGTTTTTGTATCAATATTACCCTCTTCACCTCATTTAGATATAAAAGATCAAAATAATTATTGTTTATATCAGTAGGAAATTGATTTCATTCTTATAAATTGAACTGATTGAATAACTGGGATGGTGTTTATAGGTTTTATCTTACATTATCTATTTTGAAACTAAATCAAATGGTTGTTTAACTAATTTATTTTCTTCATTTTGCATTATTAAATAATGACCCATAGAGACAAAAAATAGGTAGAAAGCTTTTCTCAAACTGATTTGAAGAAGTATTATGTGTATTATTACTTTCAGAGTAAATACTAAAAACCTCAGGATCAGCACTGCCTATCGGGGAATGAGATTCCTAGTCAGTGTTTCAGTGGACAGAAGGGAAGGTGATCAGTGGCAGAGAGCAATACAAAGATGGGGAGAAATAGCATCTGATTGGACAACGCATGATAGGCATGATTACAAAGTATAAACCGTAAGAAAGGGAAGTAAGGGAATTGCCCCAAGGGGAATCCATTGAATTTTTGGTTGAAAGAATAGTCCTGTCATTTCAGGCACAAAGAAAGACATTGTTTTTCTCATCAGCAACCTCACCTGTAGGTCTCTTCCCAGTTATCTAGCATTATGTCATGCTATAAGGAGAAATGCACAAGTGTCAAAGCAAAGCTTTTGTTATTTGATCATTTTGCCTAGCTTTGACGTTTTAAAAGGTCATTTAACACACAGTGGTGGCAGTTTCAAAATATTCACAATTAGGGGTTTTGTGTACTATGTGAGCAAGTGGAAAGTATAAAAGAACTTTTACATATTTTAACATGAATTTATCTCTAGTAATACCATTAATATGATAATTATAGTAATCTTTTAGCAAATCTTAATATTATATGTTTTTTCCAAACTTCTATGAAATTTTCTTTGTCAGTTGAGAGATCTTAACTTGCATTAAATACATCAATATATTTACCTTTATCAATATCTCTAGTGAATAATTTCACTCAAATATAAGTTCAGTTTTTCTCTATTATTTCACTCATGTTCAGTTGTTTACCAGTTTATGAGTAATTATTTAAGGAGATTCTATTTATAGACAATTTGTTAAATTATATAAATTTAGGATTTAATCTGCTAAATTTTATAAAATAATTACAGTAAATGCAAGGAAGCTAAGCATTATTAGAAAAAATTAAAATCTCCATTTTTGTTTTTCAAAACATTGGATTTCAAATTCTACCTTCTGATAGTTAAATACTTTTAGAGTATATACTACTTTTAGAATCTTTGCATTCTAAACCCGAGTTCTGAATATTATGTTTAATACAGAGTCATTTTACATGTAAGTAAATTTGGCTTTCACAATGATTAAAAACACATCAAAAGTGTTCTGATAACAAAGCAAGACTATGTTTAGTAATACATTATAATGTTTTCAGAAATATTGTCCATTCTGTTCATATGTGTGATTTCTCTAAAGAAATAAAGGAACATAGGAGATTTATACTGTATAAAATCAAGCATATTCATATTAAAATTTTAAAAAATATATTTCTGTGACATACAAATATATGCATATATATTGCATAAATATATATTGTACTCAACCACATATTTGCAGGGGAGGCTAACAATTGATCTTGTCTTGGACTCTTTTTGAACATGATGAAATAATGATCTACTTGTCACTGTTCTGCTATTCTTCCTGTTCTCTGACCAGATTATAAGTAGAATAATATAATAAAATTTTATAAATAACCATGAGGAATATTTTGCACAAACTATTTACTCCTTATTAGGGAATTGTTTTTAGGCAAAGCCAAGACTAGAACAAAGTTTTTCTGATGTCTACTGCAGTGATTTTTAAAAAGTGAACATGCATAAATGACTACTTACCAAAAGTATTTTATTGACACAGCTTTTCATACACCTATGCATATTTATCGGCACATGCTTATCAAATACTTTGTATAGCAGGCTACCTACATATTTAGTTGAATAGTTTTCCTAATGTAGTATTTGCATCATTTAAAAAAATAACTCTAGTCCTTATTGGCACAGGCAACAGGGACTATAAAAGAAAGAGACAAAAAAATGAAGTTAGACCAGTTTGGCTCGTTATGAAACAAAATCTTCTCTTGACCAGCATTTCTCTACTTTTTTTCTCCCTTTAATCTTGCACATGGAAAAGATAGCTCAGCCTCCTATAGAGTATAACATTTTATAACAGATGCAGAAGAAATATTTCAGCATCTTCAAATACCTCTTATCCCTGCTGTTGATTTCTGTGTTACTTCTGCCTGATTGTTTTAGCAACTCTGCGGAGCTGTGTTGTGCTTTCTATTTGGATGATGTTTTCATAGCAATTTTAGGCTAAAGACTTCACTCAATTAGCCCTTTTGAAATGTATTAATCTTGTGGTGTTGGTGGTGAACTAAGAATAAATTAGGATGCCTTTATTATTTATCTGTCCAAAGCTTTCATGTTACTTGATCATGCTCTGCTGTTCATACGACTGAAGGCAATTAATTTTAGAAAACAGACAAGCTGTTAACACAGAACAGTTTGCAAGCCTTCCTGTAACACAATATGATACATTGAAGACACTGTACTTTATTGTAAAGGGTTGGATCATTTCAATTAATTTTCTTTCAATTCTAAATTAGCACAGTATTTAAATGTGTACTTGCTCTGTTCTGTCCTCTTATCTTTCCAAATTCGGTGTCATCCTGGAGTTTAAACGGGAGAAGTCAAATGTAAAAGTACTAAGTGTCTTGCGTTGTTTGGTAGCCTTGATAGCATTCTATAGCTCACTTTCTTTTAATGCTTGGCGATTCGGATCCTGAATAGGCTGTTTTAATTTTTTAAAAATCAGTTTTTTAAACTCTTAGATTTAGTTTCCTACTTAAAGACAATTTCTTTGAATACCCAGAATTCAGATCTCTGCCAATATTATAAATATACTGTTAATATTATAGCAAATAATCCATTAAGATGACAGAAAAACCTGTTAATATTAAGTGTACAAAGCAGTTTTATATCGTTTAGATTAAAGGAAAAGTCTATTTAAATTGAATAGGTTAATGTTTCTGTATTATTTAAAAATGTATAATTCTATGGAACTGAATTTCCCTTTTTATAATACACATGCTAAGAAAAAAGTGTGTCATAAAATCAATAAAATATATTATTCAAACTCCACTTATGTTAATTAAATTCCCCCAGTTTTGGAGGGTTTTTTGTTTTTCTTTATTTAGTTATATATCTACAAGCCTGACATCTTAGAATTAAATGAGATTGGTCAAAGTTTATAATGACATGGTATTTTAGGAAATGCTATTTTAAAGAACTTCATGATGAAGGGTAAACAAAGTAGAGCAATGTTTCCATCTGAACTACAGCTACAACAAAGCTTTAGAAACATTAAAATTATATACATCACACATTACAGACACTTCATTATTCTATTGAGCTTATAAATATCAGCATCAACGTATTAGTTGAAGTGTGAGGACAATTGTAAATATCATTCCCAACATTTACAGTTACCATTGCTATATTAAGTCATGTATCAGCACAGTTAATGAGTTAAAATGGTTAAGTAAAAAGCAACGTGATACATTTTTTCAAAATGTAAAGATGAATCTATTTTTGTGAAATTGACTAAATTGGCTCACTTATCATATACATTTATATAGAGAAAGGTATGATCTTGGTTGAATTTTCCTTACTCTGAACTATCTAAAGCCCATCTTCCCAATTCTGTGTAAGAGAGATGTATATTGTATCAGATACCAGAAGTAGCTTCACTGAGTTGGAGGTAAATATATAACATAGTGTGCTTATACAAGGGCATGTGTCAATGGACCTTAATGGACTCTGGTTATTTTAAGCAAATTACACACTGAAATGTAGGCTTTCTTTCCTTTGTGTTTATCATGATGAAATTAAAGCAATAAATATTACATATACTATGTAAAAAGAAGCAACTTCTATAGGCATAGTATGAGGAAAAAATAGCTACACATTTCTGAAGAAAGCTAAATATAATTTGTAGTTGAAGAAAAGAATATATTTTTGTATTTGTCCTATATAAGATGGTACTTTGTGGCTCTATCATGTAATAGGGAAGGTTTATGGGAAACGATGAAAACTGGCTACAGGTAAACAAATTACAATGCATTCCAGCCAACATTTTTTTCCTAAACAAATCATGCATAATTTGAAGTGTATATAATGCCATTTGAGTAATGAAGTCTGCACATGATAATGTCCTTTTATTTTTCCTAAACTCCAAGGAGTTTCATTTAATACTGGTACAACTGGAATTCAATGATCTTATTATGACCTTTGGAAATAGAAATAATATTTTAATATGATAATTTTTATACATTGCTTAAATTATATCTGGATGAAAAAACTTATGAAAATGCGTATGTTTCCACAGTAGTAACAAATACACCAAATCCCTACATAACAGAACAGAAAATATGCCCAGTATGACACTAAACAGTTCAGAGGTCTGAATTACTTTAAATAGATATATGTGCTGAAATGTATTTTATTATGAATTAAGGTTCAAAAGCAAGAAACTTGTATAAAAGTTCAGTAAGTATTTCTCTAATGATGCTTTTCTTCCGTATTAATTATTCATGTCAAAAACTAAAACATTGGCCCTCATTATGTTCCAGATTCAGTAAGACGTTTTTAAACTGTGTAAATGCAATCCAGGCACACACTGCAGTTAAAAACTTCATTGCTAGAGATGAAGTCATTCAATAGCCAGCGATTCATTGTGGACTTTAGGAAAATATGAGTGGGTCAAGGTGAGAGTTCAGGACACTTTGTTTGTTTGAACTAAAGGTAAAGATTGAGTGTAATGAGACTCTGTATATAAATACACAAAAGGAATGAATATTCAGAGCAGTTTTAAGATGTTAGAGAGGCCCTATTTGGGTACTAGCATTTATCTTTATTCCCTGAGTAACTCTGTGAGTAATAGACACCAATCTCAACCTAATGCCCAGAATTTTTGACAGAGTAACTTTAAAACCATAGAGCCAATCACAATGTTTAACCATATCTGGACTAAAAATTTGTTATAGCATCTAGCATACTTTTACATATGTTCTTGTGAAATTGAATAGGATATTTGACATATTTTCTACTGAGTTATGGTCATATATAGAAGCTACCCCTTAATTAAATTCTTCACTTAGCTGGATGCAGTAACTCACACCTCTAATCCCAGCACCAAGGAAGGAAGATTGCTTAAGGCCAGGAGTTTGAGACCAGCCTGGGCAACTTAGCGAGAATCTCTCTCTACAAAAAAAATTTAAAAATTAGCCAAGTGTGGTGGCATGTGCCTGCAGTCCCAGCTACTCAGGAAGCTGAGGTAGGAAGATAGCTTGAGCCCAGGAGTTCGAGGTTGCCGTGAGCTATGATCAAGCCACTGCACTCCAGCCTGGGTGACAGAGCAAGACTATCATAAACAAACAAACAAATGAAAACCCTCTTCAGTCATTCATTTAGAGTGTTAGTCCATTTTCACACTGCTATAAAGAACTACCTGAGACTGGGTAATTTATGAAGAAAAGAGGTTTAATTGACTCACAGATCTGCAGGCCATACAGGAAGCATGACTGGGAGGCCTCAGGAAACTTACAATCATGGCAGAAGGTGAAGGGGAAGCAAGCACGTCTTACCGTAGCAGAGCAGGAGAGACAGAGACTGAAGGCGGAAGTGCCACACTTTTTAACCATAAGATCTCGTGAGAACTCACTCACTATCACGAGAACAGCAAGGAGGAAATCCACCTCCATGATTTAATCACCTCCCACAAGGCCCCTCCTCTGACACGTGGAGATTACAATTCGAGATGAGATTTGAGTGGAGACGCAGAGCCAATGCCTGTCACTTGGGTAAGTGAAGGAGATTGAGCAGAAGTTATAATTCTAGTATTTCCTCACATAATTGCCTTATATTAATACAACGTATTTTATTTTAAAATTAGAATAGCTACACAAAAAGCAAAACTTATTCATAATCTGATCCCTAAAAATTAAGCAAGATCAAGAATTGCAAATTCTTCCAGATTCCTTTCTGTATATATAGATTGACATATTATGCATGAATTATAAAATTGATATTCTATTTACATACCGTTTGGTAACCTGCATATCATTTAACTCTTTATAAGGTGAGATATTTTCCAAGAACTATATATTTTGGTGGTATAGATTCCTTAGTGGCTTCCAAGTATGCCTCTGTATGTATATGTATTTACTTAACACACTACCTATTAATGGATTTTATATTGTTTTCCATTTTCATCGTTGTAAACAAATACATTGCAAAATTAATATTGTTCTATTAAAAGCAAATCTAAATAGTAAGATATTTGATACTTGACAAATTTTCTAATTTTCTTCAAGAAATGAAGTACCAAAATATTCTGCCACTAGAAATTTATGAATACCCCGTTTCTACATACTCTTATAATTAACCTTAAGAACTATTTTCCAAATATACGTGTAAAAAGACTTACATGCAAATATATATATTTATATCTTACCATCAAAACTGGACCTGCATCTAAGTGATCTTGGCATGATACCAACATGATTTTCCTAGAATTGCCTATCTCCCTGTCTTATAAGATTTTTTATCATAAAACTCTTAAAGCTTTAGATCGTGGAATTATGACCATTCTATATATTTGGTAGTTTTTTTTAACTGATGCTATAGTGTTGTTCTGTCTGTATTTGTCATTTACTGATATGAGATAAAGTAAGCAAGCTTTCACTAATATAGCCAGATGCACAAACATTTTTAAAATGCATGGGGTGGTCATTGTGTACATGAGATTGACACACTTTGGAGAGTTTGAATTTTGCCAGAGTCTTGTCTGTAACATAGAATGTGATCTTATATAATGTTTCTGATTCTGATCGTCTTCACGCCTCTCTTAAAAATGTAAAAAGTCTTAGTTAGATTTTTCTCAGCATCATCAGCTCATAGTATATGTTCTCAGAACCATCTGGCCTGTTGGACTACATAAGAGCAGTTTCAGAGGGAAATAAATGTTGAAGCCAGATGGATGAATATACAGAGAGTGAAAGTAAAGTCAGTGAGCATAAAGAATTATTTCTAGAAATTTTACTTATAAAGTTAAAAGAGAGATTCATTGTTGTCTAGAATTTAACTCTCAAAGAAGAATGTGGTAGTTTTGTTAGTTTGTATAGTTTTTAGATGAAAGAGTCTTAAGTATTATTACGTATTTATGATAAAGTTTCAGGAGAGAAACAGTTCATGTCACTGCTGTGTACTAAGTGTTTATATTGCTTCAAAATTTGTATTTGAACACTGTAACTCCCAATGTATTTGGAGGTGTGCAAACCAAGAAGGAATCTTCACCAGAAACTGAATCTCTCAGAACCTTGATCTTGGACTTCTCCACCCTCCAGAACTGTGAGGAATAAATGATGAATGTCGGTTGCTTAAGTCAACCAGTCTATGACATTTTGTTTCAGCAGCCCAAGTTAACTAAGACAGCCACTAAAGACAGAGCTGATAGAGCAAGACCCCTTGAGAAATCACAA
This sequence comes from Homo sapiens, assembly GCF_000001405.40. Taxonomy (NCBI): domain Eukaryota; kingdom Metazoa; phylum Chordata; class Mammalia; order Primates; family Hominidae; genus Homo; species Homo sapiens. The sequence continues at coordinate 90,558,408 of NC_000013.11, forward strand.
GTCAGTATGGAGACATGAGCACAGGTAAAATAATTGTGTGGCTTAGAAGACGTATATCCATCCTACTTGTCCTGAAGAGAAAGAGGAAAGACTGCAGTGAATATCAATAAATTTATTGGTGGAAAAAGTAAGTAGTTATGGAAATTCATAATTGATAGCCTGAATTACTTCTTCATAGCAGGAGGCAAGGTCATCTCAAAGAATGTTTAAAATGGGAAGAGATATAGTAAAGGATTGACACCTGTCATGAATAAAAAATGAAAGCTGGCTGGGAGTGGTTCTCAAACTGCGTTGAAAACTCAAACTCAAAATAATTTTCCAGTAGATTTTTGCTCTTGCCTTTCTTGTTTGTTGAGAATTTTCTCAACTAATTTTGAGAAACATTTAAGAATCATTAAAATCTAAAAGATTTGATGAGCTGATTGGCTAATGGGGAATCCAATTACAGTGTAGGACCCACTAATTTGAAGCCAAGGTACACTGTAAGAGTATGCTGATGGGTTGCTGAGGTTGGCTGAAAATGATAATTTGCCACACTGGTAGAAAGAAAAATCTAGGAAAGAGGCTATGTTAGCCTAGTGCATTCTGGAGATGTCAGGAATTCTGGAAAGATTTGAAGAAGAAAGAGACCATCATGTAGAATGTCCTTGATTAACGCAGAGGAGTGTTCTAAACATTAGTAGTAAATACGAACAAATGCAGAGGATATACTCAAATAAAATGAATTTCAAATCAGATGATAATTTTGCTTGAGGGTAGAGTCTAGTGGCAGCCCTAAACAGTTAAAAGAGTGCGAAAAGCTGTGTGTTCAAAATCACTTTGAATGTGATTTAACTAAATATTACTTAAAAGTACACATTATAACATTAATATTTACTATTATTGAAATAACTTGGATTGAGTGATTAACCATTGTCAAACTTGTACTGTGTAACTAAATATGCATACGCCTTAGCTCAATGAACTTCATTTTAAGAAAGCATTATGACCATTTATAGAGGAAGAAATCAAGAGTTAGCATGTAAGTAACTTATTGAAGATTACACAGCTGGAAAGAGGATGTGCCTGGATAAAAGCCAGGTCCATCTTATTGGAAAACTGCCTCTGGAGTAGGGATAAAGTTGGGGAGAACAGAGAGTTTGTTTGTTTGTTTTGAGACAGACTCACTCTGTCAACCAGGCTGGAGTGTGGACTGCAGTGGTGCAATCTAAGTTCACTGCAACCTCAGCTCAGTGCGACCTCCCAGGCTCAAGCAATGCTCCTACCTCAGCCTCCTGAGTAGCTGGGACTATAGGCATGTGCCACCATACCCAGCTAATTTTTGTATTTTTTTAGAGACAGGGTTTCACCATGTTTCCCAGGCTGATCTCAAACTCCTGAGCTCGAGCAATCTACCCACCTGGGGGATTACAGGAGTGAGCCATCACTGCCTGGCCAGTTGATGGAGGTTGAATGCCAGATAATTGAGGATTAAAAGGGTGGTAAGGTGGTGGTTAAAACAATTTAAATTTCTTTGAAAACATTTGTGAAAAAGGAGTGAGATAATACTGTATCTTATGAAGAATCAGAATAAAATTTGTTTTTTTTTTTTTTTGTATTTTATAATTTTTGCATTAAGAATGGACAACTTTTAGTACATTTGGGACAGGGAGGATGCCTAGTAAAGAAAGCTTATTGAGGACGGGTAGAAGATAAGCCAATATAAATAGATGGTATGATTTTTCATAACATGAGATGAAGTGAGAGACAAGAAATATTCAAAGCAAAATATCAAAGGAGAAGAAAAGATCAGTGACAGTCATTCATTTTTTATCAGGTTTTAGATAACTCATGGACTCAGAAAGGGATGTAGTTCTTTCATTTGCATATGTATCACTCTTAGAAATTTGTTACTTAATAGATATTCCTATTGATGTAATTTTAATTAATTCAGAACTTGCTAAATCATTTTTCTGTCAGGAAATATTAGGGCAACAATGCAAATTGTATACTGAGAATAAAAGAAGGAAAGAGAGAAAATGAAATAAGAGAAGGGAGCAAAAGAGAGAGGAAGAAAGGAAGACAGAAGGGAACATTATTTGTTGAATTGAATCCTGTCCTGCAAAAAAAGAAATTGAAGTCCTTTCCTCTGCTGTCCATGAATGTCACCTTACTTGGAAATAGAGTCTTTGTAGATGTAATCAAATTAAGATAAGGCCATTACAGTGGGCCTAATCTATTATGATGGATATCCTCATAAGAAGGGGAAATTCGGACACATGTTGAAAGTGCCTTTACAAAATTTATAACTTTTGCAAAATTAGACTAAGGAAAATTTGCAAAATTTGCAAATTATAACTAAGGAAATTATGAAAATTCCATCTTGCTTCTAACCTCTAAACTGCCCTTATCCATTCGTGGGTGTAGGCCATACTAGTATCGGAAAGGAATTTAGTTTATACTTTAAAGAACAGCCCTTCTCTAAAGCTAAACTGTTCTTGTAAAATGAATGAAAGGCCACCAGCCACCAAGTTAGAATGAGAGGGGCTGGAATTCTAAATATTACCAGCTATTATTCTGGAAGTCATAAGATTCGCAACTTCCCCAATTACTCTTAAAGGTAACATCACTATTGTGAACCTAAGATTGGCCTTTTGAGATGTCTTTTCAGGTTTTTGCATTTCTAACAATCAGATGGCCCCACCTGGACCTGCCAACCAGTTTGATGGCCCCACCCAGCAACTGACTTAGCATAAGGGAACAACTTTGACTCCCTATGATTTCATCCCCAAACCAACCAATCAGCACTCTCGATTCAGTGGCCCCCCCTACCCACCAAGTTATCCTTAAAAACTCTGATCCCAAAGTTCTCAGGGAGACTGATTTGAGTAATAATAAAACTCCAGTCTCTTCCACAGCCAGCTCTATGTGAATTGCTCTTTCTCTATTTCAGTTCCCTTGTCTTGATAAATGGGCTCTTTCTAGGCAGTGAGCAAGGTGAACCCCTTGGGTGGTTACAATGTTAGAGACAGACACACAGAAAAGGGAGGTCATTCAGAGACAATAACTGAGAGGACAGCGATCTGAAGACAGAGGCAGAGACTGGAGTTCAGCTACAACAAGCCAAGTAAATACCAAAGACTGTTAGAAGTTAGAGAGACAAGGAAGGATTCTCTCTTATAGGCTTCCAAGACAGCAGGCCCTTGGACGCCTTGATTTCAGACTTGTAGTCTCCAAAACTGTGAGAGAATACATTTCAGTTGTTTTAAGCCATCCAGGTTTTGGTCTTGTATTATCAGGGTTTGGAAACTATTACAGACCCCCAAGTTATGAATTTCAGCAGCTGTATATAAATAGCCATATTCACTTCTCTTCCCATTCAGAAGTAGAGAGCTTATTTTTTCCTCTCTTGGGAAGAAGGGGAAGGTCTCTACATCCAAACTCAAGTTTCACGGGGGCAGAAGACATTTCATTACTCTTTGAGAGGTAGCAAATGTCCCCACTATAAAGAAACCTAAGTATAGGCTCTGAGTCTGTGTCTCTCAGTCCTCGTTTTCTTATTTTTCTTATTAGGCCACTCGCTTAGCATCTTATTACCTAAGGATCTTGGTGTTTTCTTGCCTCACAAAAAAGTGGATAAATGGTATAATGTTAATGTCTTCAACAAGATAAGTAGTGTCAAAACTGTACCCTTAGGTATGTAGTTATATTTATTTAGAAAAAAAGTGTACATATTTGACGATATCTGCATTAGATTTCTCTCTGGATAGAATCAATCTGTTATTTAGCTGTTCCTCTGTAACATGTTTGATGACACATAATCCCTTTTTTATTTTATTTTATTTTATACTTTCTGCCTTGGGTGTGATTTCACATCTCTGAGTAAATAATTAAGAAGATCTTTCCTGGGATACTGTAATATAAAGAAAGAAAATAATTATATTATCCTTGCGTGAGAGGAAAATACAAACTCAGGACCTAGTTCACTATGCCAAAAGGAAAAAATTAAGCTGGAAGGCAACTTATTGAACAAACTGCCCTTCCTTTTGTTCCTAAGCAGGTAGCTACAAATAAAGGGTTAAACATCTCCACAGGTAGCTACTCTATGTTCACCTCATCCTATGCAAAGTGCCCATTTGCTAAGCACAGGAAAAATGCCTAATGGACTATTCCTCTACATGCTCCTTTGCTCTTGCAACCACACCCTCTTTCTCCTCCAGCCCACTTATTCCCAGAAACCACAGACCGTTTCTGTGATTCTGTGTTCTTTGCTTCCAGGCATTGTGCTTAACCTTGGCACATTGAGACCTGTCTCAGATACTTCTTGGTTTACACTCATCCAAACTAAAGGACAGCTGCTCAGAAAGCAACTACACACATCCTATCCATCATTTTTATTTTGTTGTCACAGACCTCTTTAGTAGGTTAAATACTTTCCCAGAGGTTGTCTTACTAGATTTTTGGTCCTACTGTAGCCATTTCTTAGCACTGTTACTCTTATTATATCCATGGTTGTTTACAATTTTTCCAAAAGATATTTTGGAAAGATTAGTTTCCCATTTTTGGTAGTACCTGTAATATTTTACATTGTTGACATTTCTGCATTTCAATTAATATTACCTAAATCCAAAATGAGATTTTCTTATATTGAAATTCACTTTCATGAAAAGACTTACATAGTACTAATATAACTTATCATATTAAAGATAATTGTCTTTGTTTTTCATTTCATGTAAATGACTTCAATTTATTCAGCACTTATCTAATTTGTTGTAACTTCGAGTGTTTATTATAAAAAAAAAATTCACCAGATAAGATGAACATGCAGAGGTTGATTTTTTTTCCAATGCTGCTACCATTAGTAGGGAAGACAGTACAGATTAAGGCAGGATACTCAACTCTGCTCAAGGAAAGGCGGAAGAGATTTTAAGAGCTGGTGTGGGGGAATTGGCTCGCAGGCAATCTGTGTTTGCTAAATGGCTTTGCCCAAAAGAAAAGTTTGTCCTATCTTCAGGACACAAAGTAATTTTACAACTTGGAGCGCCCAGGGATATTAGACTCCTAACATTTCCACAGAAACTTGGAGATAGAGGCCCCATTTTCCTTCCATGTTTACATTTCCAAGAGATAGTTCTGTGGATCATTGAGAAAGATATTTCCTGATGATAGAAGCAGGAGGCACAGAAATTCTAGGCAAACGGGTGAGTTCCCGGCAAAACCTCAAAAGCCTGAACCCCATGGCCCAAAGTGTGAACTTCTATCCCTATTTGTCTGCTCTTTCCCTATTGGTTCTTTCTGAACAATGTCTTTTTACCAGTCGAATGTTGTCTTTTCCCAAACTACTTATGGCCCACCCTATCCCCCATCTGGTGCCTACAAAGAACTCAGACTCCATCAGTAGAGAAGGATAAGTGGCTTGACTGAAGAGAGGCGACTTGACTTCAGAGGGACAAGTGGACTTAAGAGGAGAGATGGCTTAATTTCGGAGAAGAGCTGGCTGTAGACTATCGGACTTTAGGAAAGATTATCTGCCTATCCCATTCCCTCTTCAGCTCCCCTCCCTGCTGAGAGCCACTTCCATTACTAAATAAAATTCTCTGCCTCCATCATCATTCAAATGTCCATGCAACCTAATTCTTCCTGGACACCAGACAAGAGCTCAGAACCCCCTGAGTGCAGGTACCTAAAAAAGGCTGTCACAGTGGCCCTTTGTCCTCGTAGAGTGGCAGCCACTTCACCTGATGAGGCAAGGGGCCCACTGAGCTGACAGCAAAGCTCTGTACATGAACAGCGGAGCTAAGAGAGCATTGGAACGTGCCCTCTGGGGCTTTAAGGGTTGCAGGCACCCCCACCTCAGTGCTGCTGTGGGGCCCGCCAGAGCCTGCTCTTGCCAGCACCCAAAGTGGCCAGCCAGATCCTGCACTCGTTTGCCCACACCTGGTCTGGCTGCGGAGCCCACAGGGAGACTGCCCCAGCTGGTGCCCTAAGTGGCCAGCTGGATCCTGCACCCGCTTGCTCACATGCTCCCTCCCACAAGAGGTTGATGACAGTGGGCCAAGTAAACAGGGTACCCCCCACCCATTGCATGTCTGATGAAGGAGTCAAGCAAACTCCTGCATCACTGGGCTATAAAACTGGCAAGAGGTTTTTAAAAAGATAAACACATATTTTAAATCGTTGGATAAAAATATGTGATTATAAGTAAATGCTCTAAGAAAAGGGAGATCAAGAACCTCTAGTCAGGAAGAAATCTGTCTAAAATTTGGTCCATATAAGGGGAATATTAATGCCATCTTGGTCCCTTATAAACTAAAGCAACACTTCTGTTGTGTTTAGTGAATGATAGACTTGCTTCCCACTCTCTTCTGTTAAAGTCACGTGATTGCATCTAGATAAAAGTGGAACCACTTTTTCTGCAATCATTCAGCTTAAGAAAATCTACCCAAGCACATTTTCACATGAATTTTGTAATTGAGTAGTATGGAATCTATGTGAGTATTACTTTAAGAACTACATGATTATATGTTCAATAAATATGTCCAGTAGTAAGTGTTATAAAGATGAAAGTAATGATGGAAGATTGAACACTCTTAAGTAATTGAATAAAATAGAGTCTGGTTATTCCGTAGCATCAGTGTTATAAAAATTCTTACCAATTTACTTAAATGTCTCAAACTAGCTTCATATTATTGACATTATACAAGCAAAAGTAAAGTGAATGGTGGAAGTATTGGCTTCTTGGTAGCATCAACAAACAACAGTTATTAATTTTATTGTAATTATTATGTAATTTAGCAACTTTAATTACTAATCAGAAATAGATTGAATGAAATAGATAGATAGTAATAATATAGTTGTATTTCAAAAAGCAAAACTACTCAATAGTTTAAAGATGTTAATAATCTTAAACAATATTTTTTGAGAACCTATTATAGTTCAGGTATTCTTCCATAAGCTTCAAGGTCACTATCTCATTTCATTTCATTAACTTCTATGTAATAGGTTGGTAACATTCTACTCTTAAAGATGAGGATAAATGTGTATTTAAATAAGAAGACAAAAAAAATCTTGTAGAGGCCAAGGGGAAAGTTTCCCTTGGCCCTCTGAAGGTTCACAGGAAAATCAACTCACAAAAGGCAGATTACTTGGGGAAAAGGCATACAAATTTATTTAACCTGCATGCAAGGGAGTTTTCAGAGTGAAGATCTAAGTCCTTAATGAGCTATAGAAGCATAGATACCATCTTGAAGTGACAGAAAGAATGACTGCTTGGTTCCAGGAAATTAGGTTATTATAGTGGAGAAAAGAGGACTTCTGTCGAAGGCAATAAATGATTACTGGAGAGAGTTCAATGGGCTTGAAGAACATAGAATGATCTGGGACAAAGTGTATTGGTCCCACAGAGTAGACAATGGTTAGTGACAAATGTCTGTCCAGGTGTGTTGACAGACCTTAGTCTTCCTTTTTGTAATATGGGTTCAGTTAATAAAAATGCGGAGAAGAGGCAAGAGGTAATTGTCTTCTTTTGTAGGTCCAGATTTTAGGTAGATAAGAGATCTTCAGAGAATTCTATACTTTGGGAGAAACAGTGAAGGGAACAGGAAAGTGAAACTGGCCCAGTTGTCCCATGGAACTGATGCTAATGGTTTCTTTTGAGTAAACATATAAATTTATTCTCACAGTTTTAAAACTTGAGAAAGTTACATATGTCTTATTGGAGTTGCTTTCTCAGGAAACCACCATGAAGGCTCCCAGATAGTATCAAGGAACTGAAACTTACCAGATCGTCATATCTGTACAATGACACTTCAGATTTCTCACCCATCATGATTGCCATACCAATCACCTGCTTCCTGTTAACCAAATCCTTTTCCTTACCCCTCCCTAATTCCTGTTTTCCTGCATGTAGTTATATTTCTTCCCTTCTATATGAATCCCTGATTTTAGCTGTTCAAGAAGATGGAATTGAGATTGGTTCCCATATCCTTGGCTGCAACGCCCAATTAAAGCATTCTTTCTTGGCAAAACTTTTTGTCTCAATGATTGGGTTTCTGTGTGGTAAACAACAGAACCTATACTGAACCCGTGATGTTTTAGTAACAAGAGATCAGAGAGATCTTGGGGCTCCTTTTCAGTTCAGCATGTACAAAATACCATGTTTTGGGCTATTAGTTTCTGAGCCTTAACAAAATCATTAGGCTAGAGTAAGCATGGCAGATGCAGGTCAATTAAAGTTAAGGAAAAATCTAGAAACATAGTAGTTCATACAAAAACTTACCATCTGATAACAAAAGCACCAAATGAGAAGCAATTAAGGGAAATGGAATTTTTGAAACATTCTGTAAGAAAAATTAGGAAAAACTTTGAGTTATTGTAAACTTCACTTATTTTACGCAAAAAAATGAATTCAAAATCATTGAGAGTAAAATGTTAAGCAAACAATCCAAAGCAAATAAACAAATTGGGGGAGGAGTACAAATAAATATTAAGTTTATGTGTGGCATAAGAATCCTCTCTTTATAAAAGTAAATTGAACAGGTCACAAGTAAAATGATGTGTTTCAACTTATATTTTATGCTCCTATAATATACACTACAATAATAAAATTAAAAATATTAAAAGATATGCAAAAATGCAACTGGGTGAATATAACAAATGATTAATGTAACTAATTTGATCATTTAATTATACCAATATATTCTTTTCACTTTTCTTTTAATGTTCATATAGTAAAATGCATCTTTTCTTGGTGTTTACATCCATGAATTTTAGAGCATGCATAGATTCTTATAACCACTACCACATATAGGATATTTCCACCCCACAGAGAACCCCTTTGTAATGCATTTTGTATTTAGTCCCTTTCCATACCCTTAGTTCCTGGAAATTCTTAATCTGTTTCCTGTCTCTGTAATTGTGCCTTTTCCAAAATGTCATATAAACAGAATCATATCATATATAACCTTTTGAAACTAGCTTCTTTCACTTAGTATTTAGGATTCCTCTAAGCTTTCAAATGTATTAATTGTTCCTTTTTTATTGCTGAATAGTGATTTGTTCCATTGTATGAAAGTACCTCACTCTATCAATTGATGTTTTGAGGAACATTTATGTTGTCCCTGATATTTGGCAATGATGAATAATGCTAATATATGCAATTATATAAGGGCTTAGCATCAATGTAGTTTTCTTATTGTTACGTTTAGATAGTTTTTTATATATCTAAAAACCAAGACAATTTTTAGATGCTTAAATTGAAAATGCCTTCACCCAGTTTGTGGCTTATCATTTAATTTTCCTAAGTAAATAGCACCTTTCTCTTCTCTCTTTTTTTTTTTTTGAGACAGAGTCTTGCTCTGTCACTCAGGCTGGAGTGCAGTGGTGCAGTCTTGCAACCCCCACTTCCTGGGTTCAAGCAATTCTGCCTCAGCCTCCTGAGTAGCTGGGATTACAGGCGTGTACAGGCACACACCACCATACTTGGCTAATTTTTGTATTCTTAGTAGAGATAGGGTTTTGCCATATTGGCCAGGCTGGTCTCAAACTCCTGAGCTCAAGAGATCTGCCTGCCTCAGCCTGCCAAACTGCTGGAATTACAGGTGTGAGCCACCACTCCTAGCCTACTTATTTTTGTTATTGTCCACCTGAATTAATTTTCTTCTTTTATTAGAAATATTTAATTGGCCAATTACCATGGTACCTATACAAGGTATACAATGTGATGATTTTGATAAATGTATATGTCATGTAATGATATCACAATCAAATTAATACATTGATCAACACCCAGTTACCATTTGAGTGTGTATTTGTGTATGTGTATGTGTGTGTGTGTGTGTGTGTAGTGAGAATACTTAAAATCTGCTCTTTTATCCAATTTCAAGTAAACAGTACAGTATTATTAACTATAATCTCCATTCTGTACATTAGATCCCCAACCCTTTGATTAACATCATAGAGTATTGTATAAGTCAAGAATGGCTTTTTTGTTTGTTATGGCATATTTGTAGCAATGGCTGTCTTTCACCTTTCAGAATTCTTGCAACTTTTAAAAATCAATCAACCATATTTGTGTGGATTTATTTCTGGACCCTCTATTATGTTCCATTGATTTATGGGTCTATCCTTTCACTAACACCATATTGTCTTGATTAATGTATCTTTATAGCAAATCTCAAAATCGGTTAGTGTAATTCTTTCAGCTTCATTTTTCTTTTTCAAAACTCCTGATTATTCTAATGCTTTTTCCTTTTCATATAAATCTTAAAGTCAGCTTATCTATATCTACAAAACTTACTGCTTGTGTTTTTATTAGGTTTTGTTAAATCTGTAAATCAATTTGGGGAGAATTAGCATAGAACTCTACTGAGTCTCCCAATTTATGACCCTTTTGATTTCTTCCAACAGTGATTTCAGCATACAGATCCTGCACATGTTAGATTTATCCCTAAGTATTTCATGTTTTGGAGCTATTGTAAATTGTACTGTTTTGTGTTTACCAATTATGTTTATTCCAGAAATAAAATTTTGATTTTATATGAAAAAATTAATGAATGAAGCTCACCATGAGATATGGTTTGGCTCTGTGTCACCACCCAAATCTCATCTCAAATTGTAATCCCCAAAATCACCACGTGTTGAGAGAGGGACCTGATGGGATGTGATTGGACCATGGGGGTGGTTTCCCCCATGGTGTTCTTATGACAGTGAGTGAGTTCTCATGAGAGCTGATGGTTTTATAAGTGTTTGACAGTTCCTCTTTTACACACTCTCTTGCCTGCCACCATGTAAGATGTTCCTGCTTCCCCTTCCACCATGACTGTAAGTTTCCTGAGGCCTCACCAATCATACAGAACTGTCAGTCAATTAAACCTCTAAGTCTCAGGTGTTACTTTATGGCACTGTGAAAGTGGACTAATACACCATATTAAAAGATTAATTAAAAAGTGGTATTTAATAATTTAAAATTATATGAAAAATGATAAAATTAAATGTTGATTTATATTTTAAAAATATCCGTTAGCATAATCAGGATAGAAGGTAAGTTCTTTAACGTCATAAGTTGCATCTGTGAAAAAATATTCAACAAATACTATTAATGGTTAAAGTTTGAAAGTATTCTCCCTTAAAATAAGGTATAAGACAATGTCTCCTATACTTCTTCCAGCCTTGGCAGCTGAATAAGGAAATCAAAGACATAAGTTAGAAAGAAAGACTCAAAAATACTATGCAGCTGATATGCCTGTCAACATGGAAAACACCAAGGAATCTAATTAATAAATGGAGCAAGACTGTTTGATTTTTAAAATGGCATATAGAACTCAATTTCATTTCTACACAATGCTGATAGTATGTAAATATTAAAATAACTATTTCAAAATAGTATTTTTAACATATCAAAGCTTATAAAACAAAAGACTTGCATCAAATTTATCAGGGAAGTTATTTTAATAACCAAAAAATATTAAGGAAACCAAATAAAACAGCGACTGCTTAATAGTATCTAGTCCAAGAATAAATATTGCACAGTATGTATGTTTCATTAAATATTACTTATTACTACTCCCAATAATATGGCCAATAATATGTCAGTGTTCCTACCATATTTTAGTAGTTTAGGGAAAGCAGCACATAAATAATCATGGTCTCTTTAAAATCTATTTTTGTCTTCTCAAAATGATTTAAGAAGTTAAAATGCTTTTTACCCCTTATTTTCATAAAAAAATTGTGCAACTTAGCTATAGAAAAGGCAGCTTCTGTGGCTCATCCAGTATCATGTCACTGCACTGTAACAAATATTTAAATATTGGAAACTATCCTAAAGCATAATCTTGTTTTCTACAAAAAAAAAAAAAATACCCACTATGAATTGGTAGTCAAAGATTTTTTTAAATTATCTCAACTTACAGGAAAAAAAGTAAAATTCTCTGGTTATGCTTACATAGGGTGTTATCTGTGTAAAACCAATTTTCTTGAACATGTATTCCTGGATGCAGAAAATCAGGATTGTTAATTTTTTCCCATAAGCTAATTTCAAATTACATGAGAAAGTCATAGCATTTTGCTGTTCTTAAGAAATGGGGCTTTGTATTTCTCATCATTCTGGACCTAAAATTCTTTACACAAGTGTAAGTTGGGTAAAATTAGATTGTTTATTAGCAGATACACTAAATTTGCATCTTTGTCATTTCATGATCATTTGACGTGTGCTTTGCAACTGGTGCTGATCTGTGTGACTAAAATGAATGACACTTTTAACAGTCCTTTCAATACTAAGTAAAAATAACCTATAAATTCATGCAAAGAATATAAACAAAATTAAACACCTTAGCTAAGGTGTATATATATATATATGTATGTGTGTATATATATATACACATATATATACGTATATATATATGCCACCAAATTTCTAATTTCTTGTTAGAAATTAGGTATATAAGTATACATACATATACATATACATACTGAATTGTATATTTTTGTTATGAATTAGGCAGATGAAACTTCTATACACTATATTTTAGCCAGATATTTAGGCTGTTAAATTAATTGACTATAGTCAATTGGCCCTCATTTTAGCAGAAGAGATAACTTCTCTCAAGATCTATGCTGTTTTCATTCCACTCACTGTTGACAGATTATGACAAAACATTAAATACGTACTTATCTAATAACTACCCATCTTTTGTTGTTGTTTGTCTTGCATCAAATTCCCATTGACTCACCATTTTCATAAAACTGTTATTTATATGCGTGAAATAATTCAAATTGAATGTAAATTCTGTTACAACAATTTGTATCACTTATACAAAAGCTTCTATAATTATAAAAGATAGTTGTTTTTCCACCTTATTCCCAAAATATCCTATAATCACCTAACCTTTATACTGTGATTCAACAGTTTTTTGTTTGTTTGTTTGTTTGTTTTGTTTTTTTGAGACGGAGTCTCTCTCTGTCGCTTAGGCTGGAGTGCAGTGGCGCGATCTCAGCTCACTGCAACCTCTGCCTCCTGGGTTCAAGCGATTCTCATGCCTCAGTCTCCTGAGTAACTGGAATTACAGGCGCCTGCCACGACGCTGGACTAATTTCTGTATTTTTTATTAGAGACAGGGCTTCGCCATGTTGTCCAGGCTGGTCTCGAACTCCTGACCTAAAATGATGCACCCGCCTTGGCCTCTCAAAATGCTGGGATTACAGTTGCAAGCCACTGTGCCCGACTAACATCTTTTTTAGATGAAAAATGAAGCAGCCAGCATAAACAGATTTTTCTCCAATGAATGTGGGAGGATCACTCCAAACTTATTCCAGAAGTCCCTGAATGAGCTCTTTCTGAAAAAAAGATTGAAAAAGATTGTCTGTTTGGTTTGGCTTTTAATGGAGATTGTAGTAGCTTAAGATAACTGCTCAAGTTTGGAAGCTGAAAGGTATCTTTTTAGGTTGACTGCTGGCAGATAAGTGAGAAATAGGATGGAACAGGACTCTTAGTCAATTATGAGCAAATTCACTGGGTAGGCACAGTTCTAAGTTCTATGGCAGCATGGACCAATGTAATATACATTTCTTTCTACCTGAACAGAATTATTGATGATGTTGGTTCACATTATGTTTATTGTTTTATTAATACATAATAACGGTACATATTTATGAGGTACATGTAATATTTTGTACATGGATTTAATGTACGATGATCAAATCAGGATAATTGGGTTGTTCATCATGTCAAACATTTATTATTTATTTTTGTTGGGAACATTCCAAATCTTCTCTTCTAGCTATTTTGAAATCTATTATACATTTTTGTTAACTATAGTCACTCTTCTGTTCTATGAAATGTTAGAACTTATCCCTTCTAGTAATTGCATTTTTGTACCCATTAACCAATCTGTCTTCATCTCTCGTTCACTCCTACTGTTCCCAGCATCTAGTAACTGCCATTGTAGTCACTACTTCCATGAGATAAATTTTTTAAACTCCCACATATTTGTGAGAACATGCAATATTTATTTTTCTGTGTCTGGCTTATTTTGCTTAACACAGCGTCCTCCAGTTCCAGACGTGTTGGTGCAAATGACAGATTTTCATTCTTTTTTAGAGCTGAATAATATCCCATTGTAATAATATTCCATTGTATCTATTATACATATATTATAATATATACTATAGCTATATATTATATATTATATATGTGATATATATTACATATATTATACATTATATATCATAATATATAATACACACAATATATATACACACCATACAGTGGAATATAATATATATGATACATACACAATGGAATATTATTCAGATATAAAAAATTGAGAAAAATACACATATACAGCTATCTTACATTTTCTTTATGCATTCATTTATCAACAGACATGTTGATTCTATATCTTGGCTACTGTGAATGGTGCTGCAAAAAACATGGAGTACATATCTCTCTTCGATACACTGATTTCTGTCCTTTTGCATGTATATTCAGCAGTGGGCTTGCTGGATCATATGGTCGTTCTATTTTTAGTTTTTTGAAGAACCTCCATACTGTTCTCCATAGTTACTGTATTAATTTACATTACCAACAAGTGAAAGGTTTCCTTGGAAGTCCTGGAGTGTGATTCCTCTAGCTTTCTTCTTTATGTTCAAGATAGCTTTGGTTATGTGAAGACTTTTGTGATTCCATATGAATCAAAAAATGATCATGGATAACCTATGAAAGTTTCTGTTTCTGTGAAGAATGTCATTGGCATTTTAATAGGGATTGCATTGAATCTGTAGATTGCTTTAGGTAGTATTAATATTTTAACAATATTAATTCTTCTGATCCATAAACATGGAATATCTATCTATTTCTCTGAGCCCTTTTCAATAACTTTGATCAGTGTTTTATTATTTTCATTGTAAAGATTTTTTACTTTTTAGTTACATAAATCCTAAGTATTTTTTTGTAATTATTGTAAATGGAATTGTTTCTTGAATTCTTTTTCAAATTGTTTTCTATTGGCAAGCAGAAATTTGCTCTTCAAATTAGTTTTTGTATGTTAACTTTGTATCATGAAAGTTTACTGAATTTGTTTATTGATTCTAACAGTTTTTTGGTGGAATATTTAGGTTTTTTTTGTAAATATAAGATGATGTCATTCGTAAACAAGGACAATTAGTTATCTTGCTTTCCAATTTGGATGCCCTTTATTTCTTGATCTTGTCGAATTTCTCCGGCTAGTGATTCCAATACTATATTGAATAAAAATGTGGTTCACACTATTTTTAAAGATAAAGCATCTTTAAAATTTGGATTATTAATTTATTATTTTAACTGCCACCTTCTTTCTTTAGAATCTAACTATTAGTAATCCAGTTTGAAAGTCTTGGACTTGTCAGATTTTACTTACCTTGCTGTGCCAGTTATCCAAAGTTTTAATATGAAATAAGATTATTCTGCAAAAAGCAATTTGAACACAAAAATTCTGTCATAATCACATAAGTATTAAACATAGATACTTTTAACCTTAAACTACTTTATTATGCGTACCATTTACCATTTCTCTATGAATTTGAAACATTGTTCTGTATGGTTACTATGTAAATAAAGTGTAAGTCTCTGTTGTATATTTTTCAATTACAACAAGAAATAACAAAGCATGTTTACAATAACTATGCCCTGTGGAAAAAAAGTTTATATTTTAGAAAACTCAGAAATATATACTATTTTAAAAGTTAGAGATTTATGATTTTCACAGCTAGCAAGATGGAATTTGGTATGTATGTACATATATATGTAAACAAACACATTATGCACATTTACATGTATTTTTCCCTGCAATTTCTTTTAAATAAAAAAATTTATTAAATATTGAACAAAAAAACAGTTCATCAGTATCCACATGAGATGAATTCCTGATAAACCTTTTAATATAAGTAATTAAAATGTTCAGTAATCAAAAACCAGTACATCTATGGCTAGTGCTATTTATTATACAATTTGTTCCCTAGAGTTACTTGAAAACATTTAGAAAAATATCTAACTTCTAAAGAATGAGGTGTTGCTAAGAATTTTCCTAGTTAAGAGCTCCAGAGGTTGTTTGACTCAGCATCCTTCACTGGTTGAATTCCTAGAATTTTCCCCTACAATTTCTTCAATGCCTCACAGATCTCCTGTACATATCCTCAAACGATCAATGGGCAGTTAAGATTCTTTATTTTATTTCCTCTCTGCTTTCCGTTTCAAATTTCAAAGAACAAGTTAAAATGTGAGTGGCATTATTTGTAGTGTCATTAGAGGTATACAAAAATGTGATATACATTCTCTATTAGCAAATTAGCTGCAAGTTGCAAATTAGCAACTGCCTTTTGTTCCGGATTACTTAAGCCTTAATATAAGAGGAAATGATTAAATAATGTTATACTACTTCCTGTATTCTGACAGCGTTCCAAGGACAAGTCATCTATATATTCTAATTTGAAGAACTTCTAAATTCAGCTAGGTAATCTGACACTTGAAATACGTCTTCAATTGAGGTTTGAGTTCTTATGACATCTGGTACCAGACAAACTGGATCCAGATCAGTTTTATTACCATTTTTGTTCTAATGAAATTAAATTGATTATGTAATGTTCTCAAAACCAGACCTTGCTATTCAGTGGAAAACATCAATTATTTGCTCTGTTTTTGAAGTTACAAATTAGTACAGCACTCCATTAGTGAGATGAACTGCAGGTTACTAATTGGTATAGCACCCCATTAGTGAGTTTTATTTATGTTGTAATTTGGCAAAATTTAATTGTTGGGAGAATGTGTTAAATCTTTGGCCCAGAGCATTCTGTAGTCTTCTTTTTCCTTTAATCTTTACCCCAACTCAAGATCAATCCATTATGCTTATATCCACTTTTTTCCATCTTAACCGAGATAACTTACTTTAGTCTGAATTGAGGAAAGTCACCTGCCCCACTTAATATCATATCCTACTCTTCTTCTTTGTGGTACCAAAGTATTCTGATCCTTTTATTATAATTCATTTCCATGGCATGCAAACTGATTAATTTATGAAAAGGGAATCTGCATTCTTATTGCTGAAACCTGTTCTTTAATAAATCTGAAACACTTGTGCAATAATGGAGCAGTACTAAATTGGCCTACAGAACTTTTATTATTTAATTACTCTTCGACTCTACTCTGAACAGCTTTAGAACATGTTTGCTCATATCGATAGTGACAGGAGACAGCCAAATGCCTAGGCAGATAGGGGCAGGTACTTGGTGAAACCCTGCCTCCAAGCTGAAGATAGTTTAAAGCCTGAGAGCCAAGCTACAAGTGAAATCGTCAGACTGAATTGAGAACTTGTCTTCCCATTTGACACACTTTCCTGTGATTGACCCCACAGGATAATCACATATTTCACATATTTCACCGTCACCTATTTCACATATACCTACTCTTTCCTAATTGGTTTTCTACACTATTGTTCCCACATTTGAGTGGTGTCTTCACTTTAACCTACTTTATCTCCTCACAAACTAATCAGCACGCACTTCCCATCCTGTGCCTGTAAAGACCCCAGACTCAGTTGGTAGAGGTGGAGATAGCTGGACTTTGGGGAAGAGATGGCCAGAATTTGGGGAAGAGAAGGCCAAACTTCAGAAGATACAACCTGACCTGACTTTGGGGAAGATTACCTGCCCTTCCCATTTCTTCTCAAGATCCCCTCTTCGCTGACAGCTGTTTTCACTGCTTAATAAAATTCTCTCCCTTCACCATCCTTCCATTGTCTGTGCAACCTCATTCTCCTTGAACACCTGAAAAGATCTCGAGACTCACCAAGTGCAGGTACCCAGAAAGGCTGTCCCACCGGCCCTTTGTCCTCACCAGCAAAGAGTGTCTGCCCCACATGATGAGGCAAGGGGCCAACTGAGCTGCTAACACACTGCCATTCACAGATGACAGAACTAAGAGAGGACTGTAACATCCCCTTTGGGGCTTTGGGGTTATGGGCACCCCAACCTGGACACTACTGCGGGCCCCACATGGAGCTTGAACCTGCCAGTGCATGGAGCGGCTGGCTGGATCCTACAGCTGCTGGCTCACATGCTCCCTCCAAGGGGTTGGACATGGCAGGCCAAGCAAACAGGGTGCCCTGATGCAAGTCCAGCAAAGGAACCGAGATATCCTGCATCAATATCATGTCAGTAGTTTTTGTGAATTCTAATTTGAGGTTAGAGTATTTTTCAGAACTCACTATTGGACAGCTACTAACCATTAATATCTATCAGCCTCTGTTACAGCCTCTTTGTCTGAATACATTTAGTACAACATCTAGACCAAAAAACTATATGGATAAAAAGGCCAGGCATGATGGCTTACACCTATAATCCCAGCATTTTGGGGGGCCGAGGTGAGCAGATCATTTGAGGTCAGGATTTTGAGACCAGGTTGGCCAACACTGTGAAACCCCATCTCTACTAAAAATAAAAGAATTAGCCAGGTATGGTGGCAAGTGCTTATAATCCCAGCTACTTGGGAGGCTGAGGCAAGAAAATTGCTTGAGCCTTGGAGGTGGAGGTTGCAGTGAGCCGAGATCATGCCAACTGGGTGACAGAGTACGATCCATCTCAAAAAAAGAGAAAAAACTATATGAATAAAAATGTTTACTAGGGACAAAGACGGCTAGTTAGGAGTGCTACTCATTCTGCTAGATTTCCTAGGTCTTCTCTAATATTTCCCATAAGGTTGTTGCACCAGGGCATTCATGAGTTTTTGTAACCCTGTGTTATTTTTACATTTTTCTAGGGGTTACTCACTTAAAAACATTGTGTCTTCAAGAGGAGTATTTTAGTAGTTTTCCATTAGGTAATAATCCTTGGCAAAAATATTGTGGACATCACTAACACCAAGAAGATTTAAAATTCTCTGTAATTGCTATGGTAAAATTAATTAATTATACCTAAAAATTTTCAGTTCTAGGATTTACCTGTATGAAGACATTATGTGCCCAGAGTATTTTGTGTAGCTCTGAAATCAAACAGTAATGTCAGACCTACTTGATCCAAGACTATTTCACCATATTCTTTGCCCATGTTGTTCCTGAGTCCTTACTGGGACATTTATGTATTTTAAATAAAGAAACAGATCTTGATTACTTATATCTATAAATAGATTTGTGTAATAAATGGTAAAATGTAGCAAAAGCCCTCAAATAACTTGGGGTATACTTTCCAAAGGGAAGAGCTGAAAAAAAAAATCTAATAAAAGCAAGAGAATACACCTGAAAGTCCTAAACTCTCCTTACTCCCAGAAACACTCTGATTATGCAGAAATTCACTGACAAATTTCTTTTGTGATAAATCTAAAAACTAATTGAAAGACTTCTGCACCTCAGGCAAACACAAAACCACACTTACAGAAGCTGGTACGGAGATTCAGGATACCCACTTCCTAGAAACTTTACTTCCTCTCTGACATAGTGCCATAAAATGTGGACTAGACACAGCCTTAGCTCCCGGATTCTCCCAGGGGAGGGGAGGAGTTAATACATGTGTCAAAGGACAGGGATCTGACTTGCTAGTCTTGGGACTCTGATAAGTCTGGCACAGTCTAGCCATCTGTAGAGAACTGAGATGGCACTTTGGACTGCTAGATGCTGTAGATCCTATGTTCAGCTCAGCATACAGCAGAGGACAAAAAAACACAGCTGCCTGCTTCTCTGTGTAGAAGCAAAGAGCTGGTAAACCCCCCCAGAATCTTGTGTGAGGCTGATTGGTGGGGGTCTTCTATACAAGACCAGTCTGTGAAGACTGAGAAAGGTGCTTGCTTTGTCTAATGCACAGATACCAACACAAAGAATTAAGGAAAATAAATATCAGGCAACAATGTTCTAAACCTGAGAACACAATAATCTACAGAAACTAACCCTAATGAAAGGAAGGTAGCTAATTAACTTGGCGGGGAATTCAAAACAAACATGCTCACTAAGATCAAAAGAACAATGAATGAACAAAGTGAGGATTTCAACAGAAAATACTTAAATGTACCAAACAGAAATCTTGGAGCTGACAAACACAAAATTCTCTAGAGAGGTTCAATAACAGACTAGATGAAGCCAAAGAAAAGATCAGTGCACTCAAAGACAAGTCATTGGAAATCATTCAGTCAGAGGAGCAAAAAGAATGAAGAAAGTGTCCATCCATATTTTTACTAACATTCTGTTCAGAATCACTAAGTATTTTCTAAGAAATACCCAAGCTGAGGCTTCCTCTATATCACTGTTTTTTTCTTTTTGGGATCTCAACAGAATCACCTCTAACAGTCTATTCATGGCAATGTAGGCTTTTTCTAATATGCATCTCAAAACCCTTCCAGCTTCTACCCATTATTCCATTCCAAAGCTTCTTCCACATTTTAGCTATTAGTCACATCTTCATTCCCTCTAGATAGCAACTTTCTGTCTTAGTTTCAGGCAGCTTAAACAAAATGCCATAAACTAGGTTGTTTATAAACAGCAGAAATGTATTTCTCCAGTTCTGGAGGCTGGTGAGTTGAAATCAAGCTGCTAGCAGATTCAGTGTCTGATGAGGGCCTACTTTCTCATAGACATTGATTTCTTGCTGTGTCCTCACATGGTGGAGGGTGCTAACTAAGCTCTCTGGGATCTCTTCTATAAGTCCATTAGTCCTAATCATGAAGTCTCCACCCTTATGGCTTAAGCACCTCCCAAATGCCCCATCTCTTAATACTATTACCTTGGGGGTTAGAATTTTAATATATGAATTTTGGAGAGACACAACCATTCAGACTATAGCAATACTAAACATTACTGGTTCCCTGGTAAACTAGGCAGGGCAATCCAAAATCAGGTATAACTATCCACATTTATTTTCCATGTATCCCATCAAATATCTATTTTCATTTTGTCTTAGTTATTAAAAACCTCCATGGAGATGGGGTGTGTAACAGACATCGATCTATAGGATAGAGACATTACACCATTAATTATCAAATATTTCCTATATTCATATAAGTTTATGACTTCCAATTGCGATCACATTTACCTCTATAAAAATGTTATGTGTTATTTGAATTTTATCTTGAGCATATTCTAAACTCAGGCTGTATCCCTTTCATAGAAAAGATAAATTGAACTTCTGGCTTGGGCTTTCTTCTTTATTTATCTTTGTGCTACAAAAAATAAAGTTTCAAATTTTTATTTGGGAATAGTTGGAGATAGGACCCAGGGGCTATACACAACCCTAGAATAGAAACAGGAACAAATAGTTTCTGCTTTTGCTTGGACTTTATCTCTTAGAATTGCATAAATAGGCCAGGCTCTGTCGCTCATGTCTGTAATCCCAGCACTTTTGGAGGCAGAGGTGGGCAGATTACTTGAGGCTAGGAGTTTGAGACCACCCTGGTCAGCATGGTGGAATTCTGTGTTTACTAAAAATACAAAAATTAGCTGGGTGTGGTGGTGGGCACACATAATCCCAGTTACTTGGGAGGCTGAGGCAGAAGAATCACTTGAACCAGGGAGGCAGAGGTTGCAGTGAGCTGAGATTGCGCCATTGCACTCCAGCCTGGGTAAAAAGAGTAAAACTCCATCTCAAAAAAGAAAAAAAAAGGATAATGGTCACATTTTGTCAGGTTAAGTCAAAATTGAGATTTCACTTAACATAACATCAGCCTGAAACTATTGGAAGCTGGCATACTTGTGAATCCGAAGGCGTGTAGTCAGAATTCCTGAACCAAAATCTCCAGCCACATCATATATATAGACATTAATATCTAAGCTTTCTGGTAGGTATTTATGTCTTACCACTTGATAGCTCCCTGGATCCTCCCTGCTCATGAATATTTGGGCATTTCAACTCAGTAATCACAGGGCTATTTCCCTCAAGGACTCAGATGATCTCACAGTCTGGGCTTTTAATATATCAATAGCCTCCATCTTATATCAGACTCTGATACTTGCCATTCTGGCGGCGTCTCAGTAATGTTCTGTATCTACGAATAAGTAGCACTTCCTGGAAATAGCCCCAGCTTTCCATAATATCATTTCTCAGGTGTAAAAAGCATAATTTCTCTGAGGGTTTGACCTACTATATGTTTAATCTTTGATCATTCAAAAGAAGTTTCTCACTCAAAAAGCAATTTTATAAATAAAATTTATAATAAAATCCTTTAGGAATTAAGCCAACATTTTAAAGAAAGCTGTGTCAAAGTGTGTGATTTGTCTTCCATATCTCATTTCATACTCTCTGTCCAAATGATTCTTGGGGAGCATTATATGACAGCAACTAAAAGTTTTCATTCTAACATTCATTCTTTCTTTTCTGCTTTAAAACAAGAATATACATGTATTTCAGTTTGCCTCAGTAGAGCTAGGTTAAATATCTTCTTCCAGAATAATTCTTAATAGCACTCCATTTCACTATCAGAAATAGTGTCTGTACAATAAATTCTGTGCTCATTCTACTTATAAAGAACCATAATTCAATGGAATCAAAACTAAATTTCTCAGCCTCTCTTTCAGATAATTATGTACATATCACAAGTTCTAGTCAATAATATGCAAGCAGGGGTATTGTGTGTGACTTCCAGGAAATGTCCTTAGAAACATAAAGATACTCACTTGGCATTTTGTTTCTCCTGCTGTCAATGTAGAATGTAGATATTATTATGAGAGCTTCAGCTGCCATTTTGGATCATGAGGAAAACTGAAGATGACAAAACATGATAAAACCTTGTGTTTTAGTTTAGGTGAACTCTAGTGTCTATAAAAAGAAGAATCTTAAAACACAGTAGCTTAAAGACACTAAATTTATTTCCCTTTCACTTAAAAATCCTCAGATGAGTGGTCAAGGGCAGTGAAACAGTTTTGCTCTATGTGGGTGTATTGAGACCAAAATTCCTGCCATCATTTCTTCTACTACCCTCTAGCTACTCAAAGTACGGTCTACAGGTCAGCCCCATTGATATCACTTGGGAGCTTGGTAGAAATTTAGTGTAGAATATAAGGCCCCACTCCAGATCTACAGAATAAGAATCTCATTCACCAGTGATGTGAGTCTCTCACTTATGACCTCCCTCTTCTTAGTGAACTTCCTGGTATTGCTTTGTTACTGTTACACAGACCAGAGTCCAAAAGTAGCATTATATAGTGGGGTGCTATTAAGAATCACCAGAGGATTTCTATGGCTATTAAATGTAAAAATCATTGCTGTACAGTGCTGTTATCATCTGAATGGACGAAAGTACAGAAAATAAATTCAAAAAAGGTGATTATTTAAAAATAGAAGAATGGAAGGTTTTTTTTCCCCTCCAAAAGCTGATAACTTACTAATCTTGTAAGATAACTCTATCTTGGAGAAAATGTGAAGATTGGCTACTAATGAATGGTCTAAATTTGTTTACCATCCTTGTAAATTGATACGATAATAGAAGCTGTCAGCCTACCTGCAAAATTGTCACTAAAAATGGATTATGTAGGTAATATCAGGATGTGGGGCTTATCCATAAAGTTGGTTTCTAAAAAAGTATAAAAGTTGTCTTGGGAAAAAAAAATTAAAAGAACTTTGTAGAAAAGTTTTTATAAAAGTGCAAAAGAAATCAATGTGAAAAATAGAAGTTTGGTGTGGTAAAATGAGGAATAAAATCAAGTCTTCTGTTGTCTCTCAGAAAGGCTACTAGCATTGAATATGCTTTCCACGTTTAATGATCCAAGGAAGTTAAAACATCATAGACAGCGTGGAATATATGCCACTGTTATGAATAACCCAGAGAAAATTGACCTATTTTTCTACTTGACTTCAGGTCCTACCCCATGCATTGTAACATTTCCAAAAACCTAGCTCCCAAAAAATTTTAAAATGTGTAGATATTTCGTTAAAAGTGTATCTTGAGAACACTGAGGAGAGGGGCACAGTTCATTCAATGAAAGTTTCCATACGTGTTTTCTCACCTGACAGCTGCCCCCAAAGCTTTACTCTTTCTGAAATTTCTCTAAAAATTTTTCCAACCCCGATTCTATTTATAGTACCTGCTATCTTTGTCTTTCCCTTTATTTTGCAATACAATTTAGTCCTCTCGAAGGCTTTCTCTATTTTACATTTTATCTGATACCTTGGCAGTTCCAAGGAAAGACGGGATGAGGAGTAAGAAAAGCAGGAGGTTAGTGTTTAGAAAGTGCTGTTAATAATTCTACTTTGGGACTCTGCCCTGTGTAACACCAGGAAGTTCACGAAGAAGAGTAAGGTCATAAGTGAAAGACTCACCTCATTATTTGCTTCCATTCAAAGTTTAAATCAATGGCTATCCAGTTCACATGCTAATTGCAATCACAATGTTCCCACGGAATGCATCATGATAATTTTAAATCAAATTTACATAAAATATGAGGCCACTTAGCATAATGGTTTCAAGTGTAAGATGTGAGCTCAAATGATTTTGTTTGTAAATTTTGCCATTTCCATATATGAGTTCATTATAATAAACTTGAGCAGATCTCTGAACATTTCAGGGCCAGCTTTATCTGTAAGTGGGATAAAATAATAGTGCATATTTAATGAAGTGTAACTAATTAACTATAATTAATTTCCAGCATGTAAAAGACTTTCTGGAACAGTTAATGCACTTACTAAATGCTAACTATTGGGACATAGCTATCTTCTTAGCAGACTCTACAGAACAGAGACTGGCAAACCATTAGTCCACAGTTCAAATTCAACCTCTGGGCCTGTTTTTGTACTATTGGGGATCTAAGAAAGGTTAAAGGATTTGTAAAACAAACAAAAACCAAAAAACTATATATCAAAGATGTATGTGGTCTACAAAACCTGAAATATTTTATCTGACCATGCTATAGACAACATTATGTTTATTGGCAATTTATATTTCAAAGCCCTAACCACCAATGTGATTTGGCGATGGGGCCTTTGGGAGGTAATTAAGGTTGGATGAAGTCCTGAGGGTGGGGCCCTCATAAGGAGATTAGTGCCCTTATTCAAAGAGACACCAGAGAACTTGTTCTATTTCTCTTTCCCTGCCATGTTAGGACATAGCAAGAAGATGGCTATCTACAAGAAAGGAAGAGAGCCCTCACCAGAAATCAACCAGGCCAGCACCTTGATCTTGGACTTCTGGCCTTCATAATTATGAGAAAAAAGTTTCCACTGTTTAACCCACTCAGTCTGGTATTTTGTTATGGCAGCCTGAGGAGATTAAGACAGGCCCTTTAAGGACAAAGTTTGTGACCCCTGCTCATGAGAGATAATTATAACATATAATATATTAGAAGGGGAAAAAAAGGAATGTTCAGCAAAAAAAGAGAAGGAAAGAAAGAGAAAGAAAGAAAGAAAGAAAGCAAACTTCACCATAATAGATGCAGCACTTAGTAAATGAAATGAGACATGCATAAGGATGACAGATTTGTCTCTAAACTATAGCAAGAGACTTTATTAAAATTATATTCAAATCATATTGGCATACCTTTTTAAAAGAAATTTTCTCAGAGGTTGCATAAAGCACAGAGATAATAATTTAATTATTTTTGCAATAACCTACCAAAGTTTACTATTGCTGGATAATATCTCAGTGTAGTTAATTTTGGGTTCACTACTGTATTAGTCTACTTTCACGCTGTTGATAAAGACATACCTGAGATCGGGAAGAAAAATAAGCTTAATGGACTTACAATTCCATGTAGCTGGGGAGGCCTCACAATCAAGGCAAAAGGCCAAAGCCACTTCTTACAAGGCAGTGGCAAGAGAGAATGAGACCCAAGCAAAAGCAGAAACCCCTTATAAACCATCAGATCTCATGAGACTTATTTCACTACCACGAGAACAGTATGCAGAACAGTATGAGGGAAGCCACCTCATGATTCAGTTATCTCCCACCAGGTCCCTCCCACAACATGTGTAAATTATGAGAGCACAATTCAAGATGAGATTTCAGTGAGGACAGAGAGCCAAACCATATCATTCTACAGTTGGCTCTTCTCAAATCTTATATCTTTACATTTCAAAAACAATCATGCCTTCCCAACAGTCCCATCTTAATTCATTTCAGCATTAATTCAAAAGTCCACAGTCCAAAGTCCCATCTGAGACAGGTAAGTCCCTTCCACCTATGAGCCTGTAAAACAAAAGCAGGTTAGTTACTTCCTAGATACAATGGGGATACAAGCATTGGGTAAATACAGCCATTCCTAATGCGAGAAATTGTCCAAAACAAAGGGGCTACAGGCCATATGCAAGTACAGAATCCAGTGGGGCAGTCGAATTTTAAAGCTCCAAAATTATCTCCATTGACTCCATGTCACACATCCAGGTCACGTTGATGCAAGAGGTGGTTTCCCATGGTCTTGGGCAGCTCTGCCTCTGTGGCTTTGCAGAGTCCAGCCTCCCTCCCCACTGCTTTCACGGGCTGGCATGGAGTGTCTGTGGCTTTTCCAGGCAATCAGTGCAAGCTATGGGTCAATCTGCCATTCTGGGGTCTGGAGGATGGTGGCCTTCTTCTCACAGCTCCACGAGGCAGCATCCCAGTAGGGACTCTGTGTGGGGTTGCCCACCCCACATTTCCCTTCCACACTGCCCTAGCAGAGGTTCTCCACGAGTGCTATAATTTTTGTCTTATTGATTTTAAATGATTGAATCACTATGTGCTTCAATGTAGTTTGTTCATGTTTCTTGTGCTTAGGGATTGTTGAGTTCTTTGTATTAATATTTGCAGTTGTAGCTTTTATAAAATTTTGAAAATTTGGGGGCATAAATTCTTCAAATATTTTTTCTATCCCACCCTTCTTTCCTTCAGCAGCCTCAATTACATGTAAATAAAGCCACTTGAATTTATTCTCCAGCTCATTGGTTTTTCCACTTTTTTTTTTCTATCATTTTCTCTGTGTTTTATGTTGGGTAATTTCTATGGCTTCGAAGGCATTCAAGTTTATTAAGGTTTTCTCTTGTACTATCCAATGTATTTTTCATGACATTTATATGTATATTTTATTTTAGATAATGTACCTTTTATATCTAAAAGTTTAATACATACATATGCATGTGTATGTATATGTACATACACATAGCTTTGCTCTTTTGAATGCCTGATAATTTAGGATACTCAACCTTGTGATTTTAACTTGTTGCTGTTAGATAGTTTCATATACCTATAAATATTCCTGAGAGTTGCTCTGGGGCATATCTAGGTAACTTGGTAACAGTGTGATTCTTTCAAGGCCTGCTTTCAAGCTTGGTTAGACAGTGTAAGAGCAGCCTTTAGCCCAAGTCTAATTTTTCTCAATTATTGAGTCAATGCTCTTCTTAGTATTCTAGCTAATATATTCTAAGGTTTTATTTTGTGTGTTTGTGTACTTTGGCTAGCGAGATAAAAAACTATTCATGGTCTTTTATTGATTCTGCATTTTTTTGGTTTTTGTTTGTTTTTTACCTCAAATTCTTTCAAGCCGTTTGTATGTGGATCTTGGATTGTTTTCTCATGTATATTCACTGATCAGTGCTCAGCTTAAGGCTCAAGGAGAATAACTTTAGATCACCAGTGCACATGCTCTGCAATATAATGATTGCAATATAATTTGCAAATATATTTGTTTTTTTTGTGTATGTATTGATCATGAAACTGATAAATAACTTTTACTACTGTCATTATGTCAATATTATTCACTCTGATACCATGTATCATTATTGGTCCAAGCACAATTAATTGGAATTCTATATTACAAAAACTGCCAGGTGTAAGAGAAACTTACAATCACTTTTAAAATCCAAGTGCACATGAGCATTATCTTAGAAGTTTTATTTTAAATACAGATGTCTAGGTGTTGTGTTTTCCCTCCAAAGCTCTGCACGTAGTTCTAATGCACAGCCATGGTGAAAAGCAACTGGACTATATGATCCCTATTTCACTTTTCTCTATTTTGTTTCAAATCTTCTAGTTTATACTCAGCTGCTCCAGTATCGCTTAGTCCATATTTTCGAATTTATTTGTTTCTTTTGTTTGTCATGGTCCTTTCTCAAGTGTGTGCGTGTGTGTGTATAAAATAAGCATAAGAACAATAAGCTTTATTATTATAAATATATTTACTTATAATAAGCACATATATTTTTACTTATTTAAAAAGTGTATGATATGTTAATTCCACCTGATTGCTTGATTAGGTATGAATAAAATGCTAGACATATAATTTAGTTTCTCTTAAAGGTTTGATATTGTTCCATTTACTTCTGACATCCAGTATTAGTATTATTATGCTTTGAAAACATATTGTTTTAGTGATTTTTAACAAAATTTTAAGTGAGTGTTGAAACTTTTATATCAATTTTGAGACTGTAAAGAAATACTAAGTAGCTAATTAAGAAGTTTGTGCATTGTTTCCCTAAAATTTCTACAGATATTACTTTTCTTGGTGTTAGTTGAATGAAGGGAATAAATTTACCTTTTAATATTAACTTTAATGTTTTAGAAAAACCACATTCTTGAAGTAGAAAGTAAAAGCATCATTTTTATATCATACAAAGGAAATATAATATGCCTCTGTGAAAAAGTGTTTGTCTTTGCTTTTCTTCAGTCACTATTAATCTCAGTCTCTTAATTTAGATTAAAAACACACCTGAGGCTAGGCGTGGTGGCTCACGCCTGTAATCCCAGAACTTTGAGAGGCTGAGGCAGGTGGATCATGAGGTCAGGAGATCAAGACCATCCTGGCTAACACAGTGAAACCCCGTCCCTACTAAAAATACAAAAAAATTAGCCGCGCATGGTGGCAGGTACCTGTAGTCCCAGTTACCATGGAGGCTGAGGCAGGAGAATGGCATGAATCCCGGAGGCAGAGCTTGCAGTAAGCCGAGATCACAACACTGCACTCCAGCCTGAGCAACAGAGTGAGACTCTATCAAAAATAAATAAATAAATAAATAAATAAATAAACCTGAATGAGACTTACAGCCCAAAAATGGATTTATGATGCTGGGCAGTTTAATGTTTAGTCATTCATTGGTGATATCCTGGTATCAATTTCTGGGCCCAGATTACTTCAATTTAATTCAATTTGTTCAAATAGATTCCCTGGTAAAGTACTTTACCCTCAACCCCGCTTGACTTTTGGAATACAACTTAATGTTTTCTGTAAATAAATAATTTTAAAATACTGATTGCAAGCAACTGTTTATCTCTCTGTGTAGGTAAGCAAAAAGTTGATAATGTTCAGCTGAAGGAGAATTTCTCTATTTGTCAGGCACTGTCAAAGTGGCTTCTTTGCTCCTTATGTTCTATTTTGAGTCAATCCTCACTTTATTTTCCCTCCATACATAAATAGGATTTCTATTGGTATGAAGAGGCACCGTTTCTTCTCCCTCCCTGTTCTAAGATTCTATGCATTTATGAGGGTCTAGTTTAATATCTTCAAAAGTTTTCAATCAAGATTATGCCTTCCTACTGCCCAGTTCCTGTGAAATCGGGGTCCTGAGACCCTTTGTATCACTATTTCTGAACCTGTGCATTATGAACTATCTGGCTACTTGTGTCCCTTGGGAGCTTTCCAGTTCTCATTGTCCCCTGCTCCAGTTTGTTAGTTATACTATCAAAAAACTGGCAGACACGTATCGTTGACTTCTTGTTCAATGACAGCTCAGACATGCTGCTGGTTCAAAAGCAACCTTATATGTTGGTGTTTTAAGGATAGAGGCTTTCCTTGTGACAGGATCCCAAGCTATCCTCCCTCTATAAGCTCCAGCCATACATATATCTGCTCATTTTTTTCATTTGTGCCATGTAGCTATGAATCTAGGAGTGCAAAAGGTGTGAACATGGTCCAAAATACAAGAAAATACATTTTTCAAAGCAGTGGAGCCATTTAAATTTCTAATAGTAGTGTATAAGCAGAGTTTCTATTGATTCCTTCTCTGATCCTTGCTATCATCTGTTTTCTGAATTGTGATCAGTACCTCCTTGTGGTCTTAGTTTACCCTTCTCTAACTGCAAATGAAGTAGAATATCTTTCCATACCATGGATGACCCCAAACTGTTTATTTTACTGAATGAATTATCAGATCTTAATATCCTGGAATATCTGATAAACAGACTTAGAATTCCAGATGGAGTCATAATATCTTTGGAAAGATGAGGTTTATTTGATGAGATTTGTTTAAAAAAAATGAAAAAGCCCATAATTACCTCCCTCAGAGAAACCCCAGAGAAGTTGCAAAATCTCCTTAAGTTTTTCCAAGAAAATACTCTGAGAGAAGTTAAAAAAGTAACACAGGCCAGTCCCCTCCACCACCACCAACAATAAAAATTAACAAAGCATAACACAGGCAAATTGTGAAAAATTCAGTTAGAATAGCTTCATAGAAATAATTTGAATATGTTGTGAAATTTTTAGTGGAAATGCAGAATTTACAAAGTCAAAAACACTTTGTGAATTAAACTATAAAGGGGGAGTCTTATCTTCAAAGAGTGAAACTTAAAATTGGATTGATTAAAACAGGCCACTGGCCATGGGATAGCAAATAGAATTATCCTTAATGTTAGGGTCTAAAATTGCTGGTTCTGGGTGGCTGTGCTACCTAGATTCATATGGTAGTTCTGCTCTTTTATTCCTGAAACATTTATTGTATAGTGAGGAATTTCTTATCAAGACACTTTTATAGTTTCAAAGTTCAATAAAAATAATGTAGCATAAAACTGAGAAATTTAATGTTTTACTTTCATTTTAAAGTGTGTAACGATGTTAAGGTTTTATGTGGAGCCAAGTAATATAAAGAGTTTGATGAATGGTGTATTTAAGTTCATGCAAGGCATTGAAATTCTATACCAAAACTAAATAACTATAGCTTAATGTGAATGCACTGTAAATCACTGAATTTCAAAAAATTATATTGAACTGAAATATGCTAGCATTGTTAAAACCATTTTGGGTACTAATGTTTTAAAAACACCTAGATAACCATAAAATTATATAAATAAAAATTTTCACCTTAAATGTTTTGATAAAATAATACGAAATATATAATTGTTTTCTTATAATTATTGTGATTATAATAGTGCTTTATTTTTATACAGTCTTGTTACCTTAAACATCCTCAATTGAATTTGATGGTTTGAAATCCCATTGGATTGATGGAATAGACTTGCATATTTAAATACCTCTCAGAAATTGAGAGTTCTACAATAAGGTCATCTTTATGTACAAAGTAAAGATATTACAAAAAATTGTATAAAATAAATTCTGTTCTTTGATTATGAGCCAAAAAGGGACTTAATGTAAAAACAGAAAATCCTACATTTAGATTTTTCTCAGATGTTAATATAGAGCAGGAAAATACTAGTATGGTCCTTGTTCCTCTTACTTACATAGTAAAATTAACATGTAAGCTGCTACCAAATAAGCTAATGTTATCAGAAGAATCATTTGGGCTAATACAGAATAAACCTTGGTATTTTATAACAATACAATTAGTATAATATATTTATTGTTAAAGGAACATAGTACGTTTTTTAAAAGAAGAAAAATTTACAGAACAGAAAAGGAGGCAAGATAAATTAAAATGTTTAATTCCAAAAATAATATAATCAAATTAAAATTCAATTAAAACTGAAAATGAGTGTCATAACATTACTAAATATCATAGTAATATGAAGAAATTATCTACTTAGAAGATATATATAAGTTTGGCTGACTAAAATATATACATTTATAACTTCGTAATGTCATTATGTAGATACATCAAATAATGACAAAATGAAATGTTTATAGAAAACTTTGGGAATTAACATGCTGGAATGTCCTTATCAGCTCTAATTGTACCAGTGGGTGGAACTTTCTTTCCCTGATAAATCACCAAGAGCACTGTCTTAAAGAATCTACCAACTTCTGACTTAGAACTATAAAGAATTGTAATAAGAGTGCACTCCAATGGAAAGAAAATGAAAACGATTGACTAAATGACCCATCAGATAAGCAAGTATATAGTCACACAAGTAACAGTTGATGAGACATCTATTAAAGAAAAATTTACTATGCATTCATCGTCAGATTTAAACAATGAGGAGAAATCCAGAAAATCTTAAGCTTTATGCAGTAGTTTTATCGCTTACATTAATATTGTATTATTTTCTTCTATTTGTTTCTCACATGGAGCAAATAAGTAGGTATGCCATTTTCATTAGGAAGCAAATTATCCATTAGGCCAGGCATGGTGGCTCACTCCTGTCATCCCAGCACTTTGGGAGGCCGAGGCAGGTGGATCATGAGGTCAGGAGTTTGAGACCAGCTTGACCAACATGGCGAAAACGCATCTCTACTAGAAATGCAAAAATTAGCCTGGGATGGTGGTGCATGGCTGCAATCCTAGCTACTCAGGAGGCTGAGGCAGGAGAATTGCTTGAACCCGGGAGGCGGAGTTTGCAGTGAGCTGATATTGTGCCATCGCACTCCAGCCTGGGCAACAGAGCGAGACTCTGTCTCAAAAAAAAAAAAAAAAAAAAAAGGAGGCAAATTATCTAGCATAACAGAGAAGATAAAAATATATTGAATGAAAAAAAGATTCAAGCATTTTAATGTAAAAATTGAACTGTAAATATTTCATCAAAATTCTTTATCTGTTGATCTGTACAGTCTTCTCTAGATCTATTGATTGAAATGGACTAAGATCAATTCAGCCTATACCAGATGTCTATTGGTCTATTTGTATTTTGTCTTCTTGTCTATTAGTATTTTTCCGTTGAAAGTAACTAGGAATCTTTGGGAGGGTTAGTTGATCCCATGTCAGGAGCAGGAATGTACAAGCAGAATCTGGAACACTTGGCTGAGTCAGAAAGAAATGAAGCTTTGAAATAGTAATATGGTCATGCTAAGCACATAGAGGACACACAAAAGAAGTTGTGAATACTTGAGCATCAAAAGGAGAATGATGACTGTAATTACTTAAAATACATTGAATCTATGAAAAGGCCATAATAGTGAACCAAATGGCAAATTAACATAAGATGGTTTTATAAGAAGATTAATATAAAAAAATCTTTTGAGCCTTCTTAGATATACAATATTATCAACACTTTTATCAAGAATGTATATGAAAATTAGCTAACATGACAAAAATATTAGGAGACTTTCACTGACTCAAGGAAGGAGATCAGTTAAATAATAACATACATTGTAATATGAAGTTAAAGAAAACCATGTGAAATATCTGAAAATTAATTATCATTTCAATTATTGATCAGTGTTCTACACACCTAAAAAATATAAAAGGATGCAAGAATTCATCAAGTCTAAAAGTCTTTAACTAAAATTTGTACAGCAGAGGACCCTATTAAGTTCTAAAGTCTTTAGAGTTAGGGGAAAGATGTTTATGTAACTCAGTTTATCAACCATAGAGGGAGCTGCATAACTCTATAAGTAGAAATATGAATCATGTATTGTTTTCAACTGAAATCCAACAGCATATGCTAAGTGATCATATACGTTCTGAAGTAAACTACTGAAAAAGTTTAACATGTCCCATGCAGTTGAGAGAGACAAATGGAAAAAACCCAGTCAGGCAGGCAGTTAGAGTGGGTCTTTGGTTGAATTCTTTCAAACAAAAGAACAGCTTGTAGAAACAGATAAGGGAATTTGCACGTGGGGTGGGGTTGGGGGGAGGGGGCTTGCCTAAGATGTGCCCACAACTGCACAGATAAGAAAAACTACACAAGTGACTTGCCCAGACATGCCCGCAATGGAAAATTCCATGAGCAAAGCAATATGGAGAAACTCAAGCTAAGGGCCCTGCATGCACATTAGGAGGACAGGGTGGAGCCACCAGAATTCATGCTTTATGCAAATGAGATGCCCTGCCCTCATCAGTTTCTTTTAAAAGCCTTTGCATTCCACTGTAAAAATGGCAACCCTTTTTCTGGGACCCCATTCTGTAGCGAAAAGCTGTTCTCTTTCTTTCGCCTATTAAATTTATGCTCTAAACCTTACCCTTGTCATGTCTGAGTCCTTGATTTCCTTTGCCATGAGAACAAGAACCTCGAGTGTCACCCCAGACAATGATGCTGCTTCACAGTTACCACATGTAGGCTAAATCTCTGATAGTAAGTAATCTCAAGTAATCTCAATTAAACGAAGATAGTAATTTTTTTTTTCTTAGTAGATAAGGTTTTTGTTTTGTTTTGTTTTGTTTTTTGAGATGGAGTCTCACTCTGTCAACCAGGCTGGAGTGCAGTGGCATGATCTTGGTTCACTGCAACCTCTGCCTCTGGGTTCAAGTGATTCTCCTGCCTTAGCCTCCTGAGTAGCTGGAACCACGGGCATGTGCCACGACACCCAGCTAATTTTTGTGTTTTTAGTAGAGGTGGGCTTTCACCATGTTGGTCAGGTTGGTCTCAAACTCCTGACCTCAAGTGATCCACCAGCCTCAGCCTCCTAAAGTGCTGGGATTACAGGCGTGAGCCACCACACTTAGCCTGGATAAGCATTTTTTTTTTTTTTTTTAATCTCAGATTTAGGACTAAGTAGACAAATGTTTCTGAGAACCAAGCTCATATTATTAATATTTTTGTGTTAAGGAGGTTTTGCATATTTACCAATTTATGTGCTTGTAGTACATAAAATGTTTTAGCTTTTTCAAATGGTAGTATTATAACATTAATTTGAAAATATATTTTAGCTTAATAAATAGTTGCAAAATATTTTAGTTCAACAACTAGTTGTAGTTAGTTTAATAATTTTTAGCTGAAATCTTAGTAAGTTATATTTAGTGTTGAAATATCTAAAAGATATTTAATTTACTAAATTGATAAAAATTATGTCAGTATTCAAGAAACTGCTATTGTCTAAATTCAGCATTCGAATACTGGAAAGGAAAATTTAGTATGGCAAATAAAGTTTCAAATGCCCTAATGTGTTTAATTAAGTTTCTCTCTGTGATAAACATTTAAAAATCTTTAGATATGACTGTTAAAATTTAATAGTTTATCAATAACCAGTGAATCGAGAAACCAAACTACACTGGGTATGTTCAGTCTGAAACCTCATTTATTCAATAACTCCTTGTGATAACTGCAAAAATCTTTCAATGCACAAGAAATAGAAAAACATTTTAAAGTTGAAACATCATGGAATATCATGGATATCAAAAATAATATAAATTTTAATTTCTGTTTTATATTCATGTTCTACAAATACGAAGATGTAAAATACTTCAGTGTTCCAGTTATTTCTCAGTTTCGTTTAAACAAGTAAGAATAGAAAATATTTGCAAATTCAATTTATTTCAGTGCTTATATAATTATTTATTGTATTTAAAAATTCAAACATGTTATCATAATAAACCCAACTTGACTTCTTTATTTTAGTATTGAGTGACAAAAATCAACACTTGGGAATGGAAGAAAGGGCATGGCAATATTCTATGACCATTTCTTTGTGGTGTTCCCTGTAAGGCATTAGAATGCACATTGTCACTATTCACTATACTCTGGAGAACTGGCTTCAGAGCTGAGTAGGGGATTTTACTTAAGTTCTGTTGGGTGACTGCCCCAGTTGGCAAGAACCAACTCTCTTCAATTAGATATAGATTTTGTTTTATTAACCAAAATTCTAAAACTATATCAGGTGTTGCCTCTAGTAGTACAAAAGAAAGCAATAACTTTTCCACATTTTAAATTTATTTATTGCACCAACAAAATTCGAATATTTAATTATTATAATCGTTACCTCTAGCCTTTAAAGCACTAACCACCAATTATCTCACCCGCTGACCGCCAATCTCAGTCTGCTCAGAACCGTCCAATTTTATCACTGAAACTCCTCAGTTCCAAGCATAAGCGAGCAGGCAGTTCTGCGTTTAAATTATTTTATGTATAGCTGTTTTTATAGCATTGTTGTTTATAGCTGTGCTTTATAGCTACTTGAGTATTACTAGACACTTACCAAATCTCTCTCCTAGGAAAACATTCTAGGTGTTTCTGCTGAGGAAGTTGGGTTGAGCTACTCATGTTCTAGTATTAACTTGAACACAAAATTATGATGGTAAAAGTTCTTGGAGATTTCAGATTTTATGAATGAAGTCATCAAGTCTCTGCTTATTCTTCCCTAAGAAATGTTACAAAATCATTCTGATGGAAAGTTCTGTATCACAATTAGCTTTGCTTTTGTTTGTTTGTTTGTTCATTTTTTGATGTTGTTTTTAGAGGCAGTCTTGCTCTGTTGCCCAGGCTAGAATGCAGTGGTGTGATCACAGCTCACTGCAGCCTTGAACTCCTGGGCTCAAGGTACCCTCCCGCCTCAATATCCTGAGTAGTTAGGGCTAACAGGTAGGAGCTACAATGTCCAGCTATTAATATCTTTTCTTTAAAAAATTTGTGGAGATGAGGGTCATATTATGAATACAAAGCCTTAACTGGTGTCAAACTCTTGGCCTCAAGTGATCATCTTCCTTGAATTACCAAAGTGCTGGGATTATAGGCATGACTCATTGCACCAGCATTGTTTAGGTTTAGAATTCAGCAGTCAATTGTAATTTGTCTCTGCAATGATGCAATGATACAGTGAATCAACATGAGCAGAACTTGATTAGAATGACTGAAAGCTTGAAAGCTCAGAGTGGTAACAGCTCTGCCAATACATGTCTTGATGGTCATTTTTTAGATACAACTAGACTGTTACTACTAGGTTAATCGATTGCCAAGAAAATTCACAAAAGAAAAGAAACTACAAAAAGAAATGCATAGTAGTACTGTTAAAAGACATTAAACCTGAAATAGAAGAAATACATTTACAAATGCACAACAAAGGCACAAAAAGAAATGGCAATTTTCAGAGTAACATATTTGAGGAATATGTAAAGGGCTTTATCTTTGTGGTCTCTGAATATACTTAATAACTTTCAAATATGTAAAATAATATATATTTTAATGAAAACTCTTAACTCAATAATTTTAAAATAATATGTAAAAATCCTACAATATAGACTTTACAATTAAGAAATTTAGCTTTCAAAGTGAATATTCACCTAGTGGGAAATACTTTATATTAACAGTAATAAAGATGTATTTTTGTCTCTGATTTTACTTTGCAATATAGTGAAGAGTACTAATCAGAAAATCTTTCAGGCTAATATATTAAAACATATGTGCCTTTACTGAAAAATCAAACATTGTATAATTATAATATCATTTTCTTATTGATTTACAATATGATCTGATGAGTGACACAAATTTACGAGGCCATGTTCAAATATCACCCTTAGCCTTAAATCCTCTACCTCCTAGCCCTACCTATAGGCCAACCAACCCATTTTCTGCGCTACTGGATTTTGCCTCCTCTGACTTCCTCAAGGATTTTATGTCTGAAATTATTTTATTTTTTCTGTCTCATCTCTGTGTCATCAGCAGTTTTTTTTTTTGCTCCACTTTCACTAGCTAATTCCAAAATAGTACTTGAGATTCTTTACAATCTCTGCTTCATAATAAACACAGCTAAGCAATTAATTAAAAATAAATAAATAAATAAATAAATAAATAAATAAATAAAACCTCCCCAAACCTTCAACAGATGGTTTGGTAGATTTGTGAGATGGGAAAATGAAATCATTCATGAAATTCACTGTGATATTATTCTTTTGAAAAGATTATCTACTACTGTTTTATTAAGTAGGTTTGGTCAAGACCTTCAGTTTATTTTCTGTTAGCCTACATTAGAGAAAAATTAATAATATCTATTAATCCTCCATATTAAACCTACAGATAATTATTCTTTCATAAAGGAACCTTGCTCCCTGGCATTCTGTTAAAAAAAAAAAAAAAAGGAAAACAGGTTTTTGTTTACTCCAAAACACAAAGAAAGTTGTAATTGGATTTTAACTTAGGCCCAAATTCTGCCGTGGATAACATAATTAAACAGAATTAGAAAACTCTCACACTTTCTGACATGTTAACCTCAATAGCCTACAATAACAATTTGTGATCTACTGTCAGTCACTAAGTGTCAACCCTAACTCTTTGAAAAAGACATTGCTAGTAGACACCGGATTGAATGTCATAGTACAGGTGATAGTTGAATTCTGCTTATCAGTGCCCTGAAGGAAAATAAAGAGAAAGTGAAGCTTTTTGCTGGCTTTTTCTTCTGGTGATTAAATTTTTTATCACATTGTGAGTATATAAAAAAAATATTATTTGGCCTGGAGAGAGACATTCTGAATTTCAAAAAATCTCTATTCTATTATAGTCTATTCATTAAATAAATTATATTGACTTGAATTGATTTGAGTCCACTCCTATACATAAACTGCAACAATGGTCATTATTGGGTATGATGGGGTGGGAAATGCCAATGTCCCCCCTTTGCTTTGTTCTCTGATCTGAAGAAAAAAATAATCTTCAAAGCTATTTCTAATTGCCAAGCAATAGAAGTTGAGTGATAAGGCAACTATTACCAACTTTATTAAAAATTTATATATTGCAGTCATCGTATTATTTTTAAATGCCCTTTAGAATATCATGCAAGAGAAAAATGTCTGTTGTAGGAAACTGAATATCTAAATCCGTTACATTTTGTTGAAATGTGTCAGGAGTCTAAAAACATCATCCATCTTCAAAATGTGAAATTTATGAATAAATGACCTGAAGATCTGACTTTTGAAATATAATCTGTTGATCGTACTGGAAACTGATGAGTATGTATCGCTATTCTTTGGAGCATTTGGGCATTTGTTTACATTTTGGATCTGCCTCTTGATTGTGGTGTAACATTGTACAATGTACTTAAATTTGAGATGAAAGAATCAAACTCCTGGAATGTTGTTTGGACTGAATGGCAAAAAGCACCCAGGTATGCATCTGGAAGTTATTATTTATAATTATAGACCAATATATTTTCTAGAAGCTCTGAGAATAAGATAAAACCATTGTGTAATTTAACTGAAAAGGCTGAACTCATATTTCGTTTCCTTTGAAACAGGAGAGATCTAAAGTAGCCTATACTACCTCTTAGACATTTTGTTTGTTTTTCATTGAATAACATTAACTGATCGTATAATCACAAAATAAAATAGCCTCCAAAAAATAAATGTTCCATTTAGTATGTTGAGAATAATTATTGGCAAAAAAAGTGACCTACTCTTACTTTTAAATTTTTTTAATTAAAATGTAATTTAAAAAATTCAATATAAACTAAAACATTATCCTATTTATGCTATTCATAACATGGAATAAAATCAAAGTAGAAATTATCACACAGAATTTAAAGCATAAATGTTAATTATAAACCTGGCCAATAGGAAATTAGGATGTACTTATTAAGTAGTTCCATTAAGATAAGTTATCCTAATATGGCTCTTAAATTAGCTCAAAATTTACATAAAAAGCAATAATTATGAATATTAAGGGCCATATCTACTGTTTTATTAACAGCATCTTCTTTGCATTTAGTAACTGAGGTAAGGAGGGCATATTTAAAATATAATAATCATAGAAATTGTCTCTTTGTCAAGCTAATCTCTTCTAGTAAAGTACAAAGGTACAGACACAACTCTGCATTTAGAACAAATAATTGCTGCTTTTTTGCCTTTATTTTAACATTAAACTTTTCTGAAGAGTGTAGAGAATGCCATGGGACAGAATCCAGCATCATAATTCAATTTTATCCAACAAACGGCACACAAAGCCTACATTTCCATATAGAGTGGAACGCCAGGAAATAATTATCTACTGTACATTTAAATTTTTGTAGTGTAATTAAAGAAATTTAGACTAAATGACTAATCAACTTGCCTTGAATTGTAACAAGTAACAGTAAATATAAAAAGGTGTGTATACCACAATGTTTTCCAAACAATTTGGCTTGGTAGTGATTACATACTTTAGAAAACTTCTGCATACTGTTGTACAATTTAGACTGACATCTAAAAATTTGAACCATGAGTTTAAATACTTGCAAGGATATAATTCCCAATATGTTACATGTAGTTAAATTTAGAATTACATTAAGCATTTACATGTATAAATGTAATCTAACACCATAATATTTGATAATAATAATCATTCACTTACAAATACATAAGCAAGCACTTCTCTAATAGGTGTCAATTTTATGATGTCTCCTTTTGTTTTAAAACTTGTACTACCACTCCAGTTCCCCAGCAGAAAGTAAGCCCATCATCTTTTATTAATCTCCATATCGTACACCCTGAAATGAACAATTCTTCATACATACTCCACATGCACTTGAAATTCACTTTTTATTTCTATGATTAGAAGTTTCCAAATTTTAAAATAAACTATTCAGATTGAGTTTTCATTTCAATTGTTAATAAGAGTATTAATAAAGCCAATACAGAATACTATAAATTTCACTAATGGATAATTATTTAAAATACTTTTCTTAATGAGAGAGGAAACATAATACTTATTGCTAGTATGCCAACCAAGTACATAATAAATTTTATAGTTATGTATTTTTCAGGTGCTATAATTGGGAAAAAATCATTTATGTAAATGAGAATGGAAAGTGTTTTGTTATAACATTTCACTCAATGATTTGAATTCCATTAGAATTACAGGCTAGGAATCATACACTGGTTGAATGTTACAGTTAATATTTATAGATTTATTACCTGATAATTTACTGATCTTTTCAATTTTGTTGAAGAAAAAATGCAAAAAGATTCTTTTATATGTAATTAGAGTCAATCATATTTTAGTTTCTTGGAAGTATACTGTACCTGTTAATTTCCCATTTAGAGAAACTCCTTTATAAACTGAAATACTTAGATAATTTGGGAAAATTAAATTATTTTCAATCTCAATACACACTTTTCAATTATATACTTTTAATTAAAATATACATTTTATCATATGCTTAAATATATTTTCTGGAAAATTTTAGAGCTACAGGTTTAGTTCAATGAATATCAAAATCATCTTTCATATAAATGAATTGGCAAACCCAGTCTTCATTGTCTAAGCAATCAGCCAAATGAGATTTGCTTTTTGTTATAAAAAGGCCGAATTTATTTTTTCATCTAAATATTTGTATTAATATAGATTCCTATGACCACAATCTCTATTCTAGTTCTCATTCTCATTCAGTCTAGAACTCTCTTTCTCTCTCAAAAGATGGAAAGTGGGTCTTCCTACAATTAAAAAGATTTGGAATTGTCCCTTGTTTAGGTGGCTCAGGGTTTTTAATATCAATGACAATGCAAGATAAGAAGACTCAGGATGCCCAAGAGGCATAAACTTCTTTTGCAGTGCTAGAGACGGGGAATTGAGAAGAACGACATCAAAGAAGGAACTTATGGGAAGGAGTTTGTGTGGAAGTTGAGGATCTAAACAGCCATGCACGTGTACCCTTTGGGAAATCTTAACCTCCCAGGTATAGGTGTATGCCAAGGTCAAGACCAATGGGAAAAAGAACAGGTTTTAGCTGTATCTCCCAAATTGCAACTGCAAGGATTGTCAAGATGCAAGAGGTGGTGAGAATGAGAAGAGGCATTAATTTCAGGTAGAATAGGGAAGTTAAAAATACTAGAGAACCAAACGAAGGGACCCCAGGTTGTGATGTGAGAAATGAAGAGAGCGTTCTTGAGGGGACATATTGCTGGCTGGGGTCATGATCTGTTTTGATATCCTCAAATTCTAGATAATAAGGCCCATATTCATACAGAGTCCATTGGAATGAGGTAGCGCATCTTCATGCTCCAACTATGAATTCTCTTACACTTTCTAGAAGCAGAATCCTTATTAATAGTAAAGCAATGCTGTAGTCCTTTGTACCTTTATGGTTTCCATTTCCCACTGAAATAGTCAATAAATCCTAGTACTTACTGAAATAATATTAATCATGCCATGACAAAAATATCACCAATAAATTGATATATATGATTTTTTTTGCTCAAGCAGTAATTTTTAAATAATTAGGTTTTATGGTTTGTTGTTTAAAATCCAGATATAAACTCCAGTTAAATAGGCATTATGTTCTTTTAGCAGTGGTCCTTGACTCCAAGCTTAAATGCATTAAATGAACTTCTAAACTAAATATTTTCATGTGAGTTGCTAAGAGGTTTATTGAGGAATATAAATCAGTATCTAAGTTGGATAGCAGTCAGAGAGCTATGAATCAATAATTGAGAATTTGAAAATGAATTTTATGGAAAAGATAAAAAGAAGAAAATATATAATCCCTCAAATTCATTGCCAATTCAGTGCCAATTCAGTAGGGTTTTGAGTTGTTTTATAGTAATAATTTATGACATGTAAATTCTTTTTTGGAAGAATGGTATTAATTTAATGTGGCTAAATAGACTAGGAATATAATCTGTCCACATGTAATAGGACAGTATCTTCTGTCCTAGCTAAGAAAGGAAGCCAGAACTTGGCTTATTAGTATCTCTGGAAACACAGGTAAAAAAAATTGATGTCATCTTTTCATAGACAATAGAATCTTTATTTCAGCCATTTTACAAATCATGTTAACATTCAAAGAAATTTGGTTGGTATTTATAATATTTTAAATGAAAGTAACTAGGTGATATTTAGTATTATAAAGGGGAATTCTGAATATTTTCTCAATTGTAATAATTAGCAAATATATCTTACTTAGAAAAAATTACTGATTTCATTATTTCAGTTTTATATATTATGACATCATTTTCAGTGTCACTACGTTTTTTTCTTAAACTATTGACAGATTTTGAAAGAAAATATAAAAAATTCAAATTTTTTTAGAAAAACAGTAATCAGAGTATAATAAGCATGCACATATTTAGTCAGTATTAAATATAATTTAAGAATTAAAATTTCCTCATGCACACGTATGTTTATTGTGGCACTATTCACAATAGCAAAGACTTGGAACCAACCCAAATGTCCAACAATGATAGACTGGATTAAGAAAATATGGCACATATACACCATGGAATACTATGCAGCCTTAAAAAATGATGAGTTCATGTCCTTTGTAGGGACATGGATGAAGCTGGAAACCATCATTCTCAGCGAACTATCGCAAGGACAAAAAACCAAACACTGCATGTTCTCACTCACAGGTGGGAATTGAACAATGAGAACACTTGGACACAGGAAGGGGAACATCACACACTGGGGCCTGTTGTGGGGTGGGGGGAGGGGGGAGGGATAACATTAGGAGATATACCTAATGTAAATGACGAGTTAATGGGTGCAGCACACCAACATGGCACATTATGCATATGTGACAAACCTGCAGGTTGTGTACATGTACCCTAGAACTTAAAGTATAATATATATATATAATATATATATATAATGAAGAATTAAAATTTCCTATACCATTCTTAATATGTTGCTTGGAGTTCTAGAAAGATAGCAAAAGCACTGTTTTAATTTTTACCTTTTTTAAATGGATAAGACCTTATGGTAATAATAATCTCATATGAAGCCATCCAA
Organism: Homo sapiens; assembly: GCF_000001405.40. Lineage (NCBI taxonomy): Eukaryota > Metazoa > Chordata > Mammalia > Primates > Hominidae > Homo > Homo sapiens. The sequence goes on from NC_000013.11 coordinate 90,601,801, forward strand.
ACTCTAATAAATATATTAAAAATAATAGCAAAGTGAAATTATACTTCATTTTTGGACTCCCAGCATTTACTACCAAAATTTTGTATTCCTTTTTGTTATTTAGGCATAACCTATAAAACAATCTAAGAAAAAAATGATTAATCAGAAAGTAAAGTTTGTGTTAATTATGATCCATTGAAACATTTTATATCGCAGCATTAGCTTTTTCTATTATCTTCAGCTTGCAAAGCTAATGTTAATTACTCTATGGATTAATAGCTGTCAAGTGTGTCCTACTTTCAGTATAAATGAATATAAATTAGCTTCATATTTTGGCAATAAATAAAGTACATCACTTTTGGAATTCTTTTAACTCTTATATGCACATATCCTTATATAAATCAGAGTGGCAGTTACATATTTCTCTGAAATTAAAATTGTTCTCAGTTCTGAAGCAAGAAGAAATAACCTTGGTTCTCTTTCTCCCTATAATTGAGATTGCTGATTGAGCAGGCTGTGGGGAGCAGGCCATCTCTGAGTAAGCACAGTGGAGAAAGAACCAGACCTAAGGCAATGACCCTGAGCTGCTACCATCAAAATCCCTTCTGTTGTTTTCCCCTAACACACTGTTTTACTCGTTAAAAATGAATGGGTGGTAAAGCGTTTTATGTTTCCAATTAGTTATTCAAGGTTTAAAAACTAAGTTCATTTCACTTAAGACAAAACCAAATAAACCTGAAAGTTTTAAAACAGTGTTAACAGTCTTACGAGTAAATGTTAAGCTTCTCCCTCTCTCTCTCTTTTATTTTCTTAAAACATTAAAAATACTTCATGCATCCTTCAGTACTATGTTTGTGTTCTCTAAAGTTCAAGTAGCCTGTAGTTTATCTTCTATAGATTATAGTTCACACTTCATTCAGTTAGAGCTTTGCAACAACAACCATACAGTTCATTTCCCAGATCTCAGTGTCTCTTTATGCTCATTTATCCCATAGTCTATGGCCAGAGCAGCATTTCTTAATTATTTATGTATTTTATTAATATTTTTTAATTGACAGATATGATTATATGTATTTATTATGTACATGTTTTGAAGTATATATACATTATGAAGTGGTTAAGTCTAAGTAATTACCTCATACAGCTATCATTTTTGTTGTGAGAACAATTAACACTTACCATTTTTGCATTTAAAAAATATTATGTAATGCCATGCCCCCCTACTTTTTCTAACTATTCAGTATCACCAATAAACAAATGAATAAAAGTTAGAAAACTGCAAGGATATTGTTAACCCCAAACAATGGAAAGTTACCTTCAACTACAGCTGTGCAACAGGAGAGTTCCCTGAACCTCCTTGCAGGACATGCGACAAGGATGTGGCCCATCTGTTTGGCTGCCAGGTGCTCAAACCCCTTATGGGAGGGGAGCATGCAGATGGGCAGGTGCAGGGGCCAGGGTGAGGGTGAGTGCTTTTGGGATCCGACCCCACAGTAGCATCTAGAGGTGGGTTCCTGTGACTTCTGAAGCCCCCATGGGCATATTATAGTGCTCTTTTAGCTCTGCCATTTGCAGATGGCTTAAGTGTTAACCAGCTCAGTGCCCTCATGGTATCTGGGTTCTTGTTCGACATCCAGGAAGAATCAGGTCACACAGACAAATTGATGGATGGTAAATGCAGGAGATTTTATTGCCAAATGGAGGTGGCTCCCAGCAGGATGAATGAGGAGCTGGAAATGGGAAGGAGTGGGAAGATGATCTTCCCCTGGAGTTTGGCCATCCCATGGCAATCTCCTCTCTGACCGTCCCCAGCTGAACACCTCTCAATGTTCAGACATCCTTTCTCTTCTCTCCTTCTCTGCCGCACTGTTCTTCTGTTTCTCTGCTCTTCTGCTGTGGAGTCTGGGGCTTTGGGTTTATATGAGTACAGGATAGAAGGTGTGTGGTGGGCCAAAAGGCCACCTTTGGGTGTGAAAACAGGAATGCCTGTTCCCACTTAGAACCACAAGTTTCTAGGCTTGAGAGTGGGGCCTTTGCTGGGAAACACCCTCTTTTACCCAGTATTTCCCTGCTTTTTGTCTGTATCAGTTATATTTCTGGTACATTAGATCCCAGAGGTCAAGGCCTAGAAAGGCAATGCCTCTTCTGTCTCAGTTCTACCTTCTACCATCCAGCTTTCTTTTGTGAAGGCTTCTCTTGCCCCTGGTGTTTAACACAATTTATTGCCACCTTCAGGAAAAATGAAAGCCCCTAGTTGAAATATGTCCCTAGCCAATGCTATCAGGAAATAGAATCAGAGTATGACATCATAAACTTAATTTTGGAAGACATCTTTTTGGTTTCTTAACTAAGTTACTGTAGTGATTGAGTTGTTTTGCTTATAATTCTTTTCACCCTGTGTTATTTTGCTAGGGTTGCCATCACAAATTCCCACAATCCAGGAGGGTTAGGACTACAGAAAGATATACTCTCAAAGTTGTGGAGACCAGATGCCTGAAACCAAGGAGTCAGCAGGACCCTGCTCCCTCTGAGGCCTTCAGGGGAGTATCCTTCCTTGTTTCTTTCATCTTCTGGTAGCCCTAGGGTTTCTTAACTTAGAAATGCATCATTCTAGTCTCTGCCTCTGTCTTCACATGCTATTCTCCTGTGTATCTATGACTGAGTTTTGCTCTTCTTATTAGAGGATAAGAAGTCATATTAGGTTAGCCCTTCCTACTTCCAATGAGCTCCTATTATTAATAACTCTATTGCATTTCTAAGATCCCCTCTTCCAAATAAAGCCAAATGCGCAGGTACCAGGGTTCAGATTCAACGTATCTATTTTGGGGGAACACAATTTAACCCATAACAGACCCCATTTTTGGAAAAGCAGCTTAAGGGAAACATCCTTTGTAGTCTTTACAGATAAATTATTCTAGGCATTGAATTACACAATATAACCACTGGGAAAATAACTTGAATAAAAAGTCATTTTTGGTCATTTAAGTCCTATCTATCCTTTTCATTTTATAGCATAGTCATATATGTTTAATCTGTGCTTTCACAGTTTTCAGGAATTTCTTAACTCTTATGCTTGAGAGAGGCTACTGTATTATGTATATATTTTTGGTACCACAATTTAAGAAGGATAATGACAAATCCTGCTATAACTTAAAAATAAGTCAAGAAAATGAGGGCTCTTGAAAGCACTGTATCTCGAGAAAAATCTAAGCAATCAGAGACATGACAAATATTATTTGCTAACTGTCTTTGGATATAATTATTTGTGTGTGATTTGGAAAGAGATTAGAGGGACTTTGCTCATCTTTAGGATATAGAAATATTAATAACACAGAGGTCAAAGGTATGAGAAGGCAAATTTAAGTTCAGTGTAAAGAAATGTTGTATTTTATGTTATCCAGGCTCAAAATCAAATACGTATGACAGTAATCTTCATTTTAGAAGTCTTCAGAGAAGGATCACTTCTTCCATTAGGCTCAAAAATATTTAATAAGCGCAAGCTATGTAACCAAGTCTGGGGTTGTGACCAACACTAACCCGAGGATGTGAGTTTTGATTGGATAAGTGGCTGGACTGAGCTGAACGTGGTCCCCTGTAGAGTACCCTTTTGTCTAAAATTATGGCTTTAATATGCTTATAAACCTTCAAAGATCGGTTTTACATAGTGCTGGCTTTTTAACTTAAATACAGAATAAGTTTGATTATAAAATACATAGTACAGTACAGAGGAACTGTCACAGTATGTGAAGCCATTTTCTGAACAGATCTATTTGACCTCTGCTGAGGAGCAAGAACATGGTGTGTTTTTGTTTTTATTTTTTCCACCATATCCTCAGCTGCATTGGATCCTGCTGAGGATGTGCTGTTTTAAACTGTAAAATACCATCTCCCCACACAGCCTACAGGGGAGAATCTATATTAATGCAATGGATAATATAGAAGATGGACTAATTATTTCTAACTTAATTACTAGAAATTCTTGTACAGTTTTTGTTGGCATCAATTTAGCTCCGAAAAGCAAATATGTAAATACAATGCAAATCACAATAATCAGTAAGCTAAATTGTTTGTAATAAATTTAGATATTTTACATTTCCTCTTGGCTCATCAGAAATGATTAGAGGATGTAAATGATCTCATTGGAATTAATGCAGGTTCTCTACTGCCATTAGTATTTTCAAGTATTACTCCACACTTTTACAAGCTGAAATCATTGGGCATTAAAATGGAAAAACAGTGCTCTTTTAAGGTGTAATTATCCACTGTAGCATATTAACACTTTCAAGTGTCTGATTCATAATTAACAACCAAGAAAACAACCTAAGACTCAAAACCGCCTGCCAATCTGGCCTTATTATTTAAAAAACATGATTAGAGACTTTATTTCATTTGAAATTTGGTGAGAATGCAGCTAAATATAATTGATTTGATTTTAAAAAAGTGAAAAGACATTGATAATAAGTATCTGAAATGAAAGTAATGTTATAACTGCAGATGTAAGGACATTTTAAAAAGAATGATAGGGGAATATTACAAACTATTTTATGCCCATAAATCTGGCAACATAGATAAAAAGGACAAGTACTTTAAAAGATAAAATGAGAAGATACAAACAAAAAATACAAATTAAATCCTACTCAAGAAACCACACCCTGAGTAATACTGTAGCTATTAAAAAAATTCAGTTCATAGTTAAAAACCTGCAATTAAAGAAAACTCCAAATCCAGAGAACTCTACTGGTGAGTTCAACCAAAAACACAGAAAGAAATAACAATTTTATATGAAATGTTCAATAATATGGGAAAATAGTGGGTACTTTCCAACTCACTTTATGAGGCTAGCATTATTCTGATATCAAAAGTGGTAAAATATCATTAAAAGGAAAACTATACTATCTTTTATTAATAAAGATGCAAAACTCTTCAACATATTAACAAATTTGATCCAACAATATATGAAAGTGATAATACATCAATATCAAGTGAGGTTTATCCAAAAAAAGGTAAGTCTGGGTCAATATTTGAAAACCTAGAAATGTAATTCAACACATTAAGTAACTAAAAGAAAAATATTGGCAGTGTCATCATATGAGTAGGACACATTTTATAAAATTTAACATCTACTCATGCTAACTTTGCTCAATTGCAATTTAATGGCAAAAGAATGAATGCTTTCCTCAAAACATTATAACCAAGACAAAGATATCCACTGTCACCATTCATATGAAACATCTAGCTGGGGCGGGGCATGGTGGCTCACACCTGTAATCCCAGTACTTTGGGAGGCCAAGGCAGACCTTCTGAGGTCGGGAGTGCGAGACCAGCCTGTCCAACATGGTGAAACCCTGTCTCTACCAAAAATACAAAAAATTAGCCAGGCGTGGTTGTGGGCACCTCTAATCTCAGCTGCTTGGGAGACTGAGGTGAAGAATCGCTTGAAACTAGGAGGCAGAGGTTGCAGTGAGCTGAGATTGCACCACTGCACTCCAGCCTGGAGTGATTGCATCACGACTCCATCTAAAATAATAATAAAAATAAAATAATAACAAACATTAGCTGGAATACCTAGCCACTGCAATAATGGTAGAAAAAGAAATAAAAAGTTCTAACAGGTCAAACTATTAGAAATAAAAAAAAAACTGCTCTTATTTTCAAATGGCATGACTGTTTATGTGGAGAATCCCAAACTATTTAAAAAAAGAACCATTAGATCTAATAAATGAGTTTCACAAGTTTACAAAATACAAGCTTAATATAAAAATTATAATTGAACAATTAGAATTTAAATTACACAGTACAATTTGCAATAGCATTAAAAAACAAAATGCTGAAATTTCAATCTAACAAAAAATGTTCAAATCTGAATGCCAAAGTTAAAAAAAAAAGAAAAAATGAATATATTGGATAGACGTAACATATAAAATGAAACAAGAATGGTAGAATTTAAAACTTTCTAAGAGGTGGGAAGACATTTTAGAAGGTGGAAAGAAATGCTGGTATGTTTAGAAGTCAATGTCAGGTAGGTGTGTTAAAAAACGTAGTGGGTAATGACTAAAAAAAAGGAAAGAAGGAAATAGAATAGAAAGGAGGGAGGGAAGGAAGGAAGGAAATAAGGTAATCACATGAAATAGAAAGAATTAAAGGAAATAGTGAATATTGAATTAAATATAGAATTACAATGTAAGAAAAAAAGAGAAGAAAACAAAAAAGTCATAATAAACAGAAAGCAGAATAATGTAGTAGAAAATATTCAAATAGCACAGCAATCAGTTGTGTGAGTGGACTAACCTGACCTATTTGTAAGTCAGAGAGAATCTAGCAAAAATCCAAGTACCTAGTTTTTACAAAGACACACCCGAAAGAAGAGCATAGAATAATTAAATATACATATACATTTACATATAGTAATTTTTATGAAAAACATAGATTTTTCATTTTAAATGTTAGCATAGCTTACAAAAGGATGAAATAATGCAGAAAGCACTGTTAAAAACAAGAATAATTCTGAAAGAAGATGGAAAAATATGATTATATATGGTTTAGTAAAATACCTTTAAAATAAATTACAAGCAATTGTCAGAATTACAAAAACAATCTTACAAATCTTTATTCAGAGAGGAAGATATTTACATGCTTTTAGTGATAGTTGATAGATCAAACAGCTTAAAAGAAGTAATGATTTAGCAATTTTGAAAAATACAATTAAAGCATCTTCTTAGTGGAAAAACACAAAATTTAGCAGTTACCAATAAAAAAGTATGCATTTATTTAAATACAACTGGAAAATATTCAAATTTTACGACATGCCAAAGCACAAAATAAAATTTAACAAATGTGAACATTAGTTTCATACAATCCATAAACCTCTAACCACGATGCAAACCAATTAGAGATTAGTGTTTTCAATAGCATATATTCATATATAACTACATGAATGAATTAAAACATTTTATTAAACTATAGAAGAATTCGTATGGAAATAAGAACATTTTAGAACTGAATACTAGTTGAAATATTTATAGAGAAAACCGAGGGATACATAAGGATAGCTTAGAAAATTTTCATCTTAAATAATTACTTTTATAAATAGAAGAAAGTCTAAAATCTAATGATCTAATATTTCAATATAAGAACTTAGGGGAACAAAAATAGAGTAAAGACAATGAAGTAGAAGGGCAGAAATAAAGATAAAATCACAAATTAATGAATTAGAAAACACCTGCAAAAAGGGGGAGGGCCCACACAAACAAAATCTAGTTATTTGTTAAGATTAATAAAATACCAAACCTCTGGTAATATTGGCCAAGAAAAGTCAAGATATTGAACTCTATTTAACCTTGACTCACTAAACAAGTTTTAATCTCTAATTTCTCTTGAAAGTCTACTAAAATTGCAATAAAGGAATAAGCACATATGCACTCACACACACAAAGAGAATGAACAAGCAAAAAGACAGTAAACAAGAGATGTTGATACAATTTTAAACACACTGAATAGATGAACAAAAAGTAATTGAAACAGGAGAAAAAAGGAAATACGGAACTTCAGCTAAGGATGAAACCAATGTGAGTTGGCTAATTTACAGTCCAGAACCCTGGGAAGACCCTAGAATTGGAGGCTTCAGATTCTTTGTTGCAGGATGAGGCTGAAAAGAGATTACTCTTCCTCCCTTGAAGTCAGGCATACCTGTCCCCACTCAGACAAGTCTAGACTCTGAAAAGGTTGCAATGGAGCTCTGGACTCTGGGAAAGCAGGTACAGTTGACACAAGGTGATAAATTCAAGATCTGTACTGATTGGCATCTTGACCATTCTGAGTAGGATCACCTGCCCCTCTTCTTGTTTTAGTTTACACATTGTCCTACTTGATGTTTCTAGAAATACCAAATACTCCCTGTCTTTGACATTTGTAATACTGGAAATACCAAGTACTTTTTCTGCCCAAAACTTCCTTCTCCTGAATAATTATTTTCCTCATTTCCTTTATTCTTATTAAATACCATTTTTTAAATGAATGCCTTTTCTGACCACCCTCTATGAAACACTATTGCCCTACCACACCCTGTGCTGGCACTCACCTTGCTTTGAGTTTCACAGTAGCAGTGATCACCACCTGAAATATTTTATTTTTGTTAATTTATTTGTCTTTTTTCCTCTAGAATTTTAACTTTATATTGGCTGGGAATTTAACTGCATGTTCGCAGAGGTATTCTTAATATTTAAAAGGCACTGAACAAATGTTAATTATTAATGCATGCATTGTATATTCATATTGAACAATCCCAGACAGTGACAACCTTTACATTCCCTTGTTATCTCATGCATGTCATTGGTACTTATTCCTTTCCTACTTACAAAATAAGTCCTTCTTCAGTCTTCAGGAGTATGCTATTTATTAGTTTCCAGGAATTCTTTTGGAGAGATGTACATATACATATATATGTGTGTGTATATATATATGATGTATATATGTATATATATGACATTACTCAAGATATTAAAGATACATATTCTATAATTTGGTGTGACCCTCTAACATTTTTTTAAAATAAGCATTACCCAATTCAGCATGAAGTCAATGAATAAAAAAAGAAAAAACTGAATAACAGAGCCTCTTTACCTGTTGGATTTTTCTGGATGGTGAAAGTGGAAAGCAAATGGCAATGAAATGGCTAAGGTGTATTTAAAAAATGTAAAATGAAAATGAATACATTTAAAATCATAATTGTGCATTTATTTCTAAAAGTTGGAAAGCAGTTGTATTCAATTAAGTTAGGATTAGCTCAAGTGTAAAAAACAAAGATGTATCTATAGATACCAATATGAATATATAAAAATATATGCACACACCTATATAAATATATATACAAATAGACATACATACCACTTTCTATATGGGAAATCCAATAATCATATAACTCAGTTATTTTTGTTAAAAAAGAAAGAATGATGGTAGAGAGGCATGTGAAATCAAATATTTCAGAAATTTCTTATGACAGGGGCATATAATTTACTATTTGAGCTAATATTTTACTCATAATTCTCTCTTTTGTCTTAGGAAGAAGGCTTCATACTTAAAGGCTATAACTTTGATTGCTTTAGTCATTAAAATATCACTGTTACCATATTCTTCAAATTGTTCATTTTTTTTTTCATCCTTAGGATACTATTTCTACTGAGTGTGGTTTCTATTGACTAATCTCATGGTAGATGTTCCCTGATGTGGATTTTATCTTTTAAAGTAAGCTCATCTTCAGTGTTCTACCTACAGATCATCAGGCAACCAAAGGACATTCATGTATTTTGGGCACTGGAAAAGTCATTTTCCATTTTGCATTTGCATTTTTCATTCTTTTCTACTAAGTTTTCCAATGGCATAACTAAAGCAGGGTCAGTTTTTATATGAATTTCTGGGTGTAGCATTTACTTAACATGTGAGTAACTTAAATTTGTCATCTACATCCATGCAAGAAAGGCAGCTTCAGGTTTATCTTTCTCATGGAAGATTTTTCTTTACTTTTCAATCAGATAAGAGCGACAAGCTTCATTGTTTTGTTTGCATTAATAAGTAGAGTATTTTAGTTTTCTTGTATAAGACAACATGCTTTCCAAACTGACAGCACCAACTTTAGGTTCTTATAGTGGACAGTGCAGGTACCCTACAAAGATCCCCTTTGCCTCAACAGGATATCAATCCCTGAGATGCTATGATTGCAGGCTGCTGATGACTTGCAGCCACGCTTTTCTCCAACAAGTTGCCTTTTGATTGAGGAAAGTCATCTGACCTAAGAAGTTATCTACCTGCACCCCAAGCCACAGTCAATGCCCCACCGACATCAGAGTATAAAAGGCCCTAGCCTCGAGGTGTGGATTATTCTGCCGTATGCTTTATATGCCAAAGTCTCCCTGTGTGTCATGCCAAGCCTTTCCTCTTTGCTGTCCTGCTTTATATGCATCTTTGCAGGCTTTTCCTAAAGAAAAGCCTTGAATAAATCATCTGCATGAGTCCTGTCTCCAGCTCTTGTTCCTCCAGAACCAAACACAGGCTCATTTCCAGGTAAAATTCTGACTCCCTTTCCGCATCCAAAGCTGCCAGGGTAACAGCTCAGGAGCTTCTGCAAAATGGAATTTCTCTTTATTTCAACCAGATGTATAAATGTAAATGTTGATGTTGTTGTTGTTACATTTTATCCAGCAGTCCTAGCTGTTTGAAATAGGAGAGGTAGTTCTTATTTTCCCATCCTGCTATACTGTTCAAACTGCAAGGAAAGTTTTTCTATTTAATTTTATTCGTAATTCCTCTTGATGATGCTGTTATATTTGTCCTGTATAGTTCAAGACATCGGTAAACTAGTGTAAAAACTATTTGCTTTACGTAAAAGCTTTCTGACACTTTGTTCTGAATCTCAGAGCTTGGAAAAGGTTATTTGACCATGAAAAGCACTTCTTATTGAGACAAGAGGACAGAGAAAGAGGCGTAATTACCTCTGTACTGGGAATGGAAATTAGAACAGCTTTTTTTGGAAAGCAATTTGGCACCATGTACCATGGATATTAAAAATATTCACACAATTTGACTCAATTCTATTTCTTTCCTAAGGAAATTTTCTAAGAAAAAATTCAAATAGAAGGAAAAACATGCATAAAATGGCAATCATATTTAGTGTTATCATAAAGAGTAATTGAAACCTAAGTGCTGCCAACTAATGAGTATAAATAAACATAAAAATGCATAGCTGAAAATAAACCAAACAAGTTGTCTCAAATAATTTATCATATTTAAACAAATATTTGAGTCAGGCAGTCTGTGCTCTACATACAGACATGAAAAAAAGTAAGCTTTTCTGTCCTTGACCCCCAAAAAAACAGATGGAAGAACCAACATTATGGTTGAAGAGGGCAACACCGCTTGAGCAACAGCCTTTGATCAACTAGTGCTATAAAGGCATCCACACAACTGAACTTTCAGGGATGCGACAATGCATAAATGGAAGAAAAGTTGTCATAACAAGCCAAATCATAACCGTTATTCTATAGAACTGTTACCACCATAGATTCTTAGGCTCCCGTGCAATAGAAGTTCAGAGGGAAGACAGGCAAGTTTCTTAGACAAGGCATTATTAAGGGCTTATATTGGAACACAAGGGAGACAGCACTGGAGCGAGAGTTCTCTAGCTGACTCCCAAGGGTGGGTCTTTGCGATGTTTTAAGAAGAAAGATATGAATAAGCATGAGGTATGTGAACATCATTACATGTGCAGAGTGGAGCTCAGGGTGTGGAGGTGCAGTGACAAATCATGTTAGTACATACATCACAGGATCAAAAACTGGTGGATAAGCTCCTCCTTGAGCAGAGATTTTAGTATTATAATGAGGCAAGGGGTAACAGTTGGTCATTCTCGTCTTGTGTGCATATGGGTGATAGGATTAACTCCTTTGAGTAAGATTTAAGGTAAAGCTGCTTAGCCTAGTTTCTTCAAGGTGCCATGGTGAGCAGGTAGGAAAGCACAAAAGAAAGATAAAAAAAAATGTATTGCTGGCGGCAGAGGGAGGCTGAGTCCTATTCCTACTCTGTCTCAGAATTAGATAGTAAACATATTATAGGAGATAAAATATAGCTGAAGAGGAATCCATCCTCGTCAGGTTCTAACTGAGGTCCAAGGGGAATGGATGCACAAGTGGCGGGTAGCTGGAAAAACACTAGAGGAATCGTAGACAGCTTCCACATGGCTTTACTCTCTCTCTGGGCGCTAGCGAGGCTGGGTGCAAGTGAGCCTGACATATGTGTCAGCGTTAGCAGGGTAATTATACCTTTTACGGACAATAGTGACTCTGAGCCAAGCATGAGCTCACGTGGATGATCACCTAATGCGCCTCACGTAGCATGATCACATAATGTGCAGGGTGTGTGCCTGCACTCCAAACCCACTGAGTCATGCTGTGCCAGAAGGCCACCTTGGCCTACTCCTGACTAAAGCACAGCCATTTCCCTTACAATCCATGCCCTAGGCTGAGGGCATTCTCTGGGCAGGGACACGGGCTCACAGGGTGGAGCCTGAATCCATAACCCACAACAACAATACAGAGAGCAACAGCTCACTACTAGGATCTCAGCTGTGCTACTTATGACTATTAGGGCCCAGCAAAGACCAGAGCCTAGGGATGTCCACCATCTCTGCAGGAGGTCATCAGTAAGGCTCTCAACCACCTTAATCTCCCGTGAGAACACTTGCAGGGCTGCTGTTACATTCTGCTGATTATCAGGGATAAAGGTACAATATTGTGTTCCTAAAAGGGCACAGGTGTCTCCTTGGTCAGCAGTTATTATGTCTAAGGCCATTCAGTTTTGCAACACCACCTTTCTGATCTGATCAACCTCATCTGTTAACAAGAGGAGTGCCACTGGGGTGTAATATAGAGCCTGAGAGGTGTGCTCTGCAAGAGCAGTAATTTGTGCTTCTACAGATATGACATTCATTCCAGGAATAGTCATTGCCAAAGGATAGAACCGTCAGGGGCCTCGTCACTGAGAGTGTAGTGCCTCCAAGTTATGTGAGTGTCTGGGCAACGTGGGGAGAACAATGGCAGGTATATAAGGCCAGCCCCCCAGGTACAACATCCAGTCTAGTACATTAGTAGGTAAGGCCACCCTGTGTCCCCATAGACCCATAAACTCCCAGGGGACACAAAATCCATTGGGGCCCGACCTTGGTTGGGCCACTTATTCCACCATCCTTTGGTGTGGTGACATGTGTTTTGATGGATACCCATCCCACAGTCGTGTTACCCCAACATTGCTCTATGCACCACGGTGCCTGGGTTATGGGGTATTACCTGTTCCCCCACTAGCCAGCCCCACCCATCAAAAATGCTACAGGCCAGCCAGGGGGCAGGCATGCCGTGGGTCATGTGGTGTCCTTTCTCCAAAGCTTGCCGCATTGCATTCCAGGCGTCGGCCATGGGACCCCAAGTCTCCAGCTATGTCTTGTTCTCTGCAGACGCTGAAGGTATGTGCTAAGGTAAGCCATCCACAGCTGCTGCTGGAAGAGCAGTGCAGATCCAACAGTTGGAAACATGGGTCACCTCAGTATAGGTGAGGGCCCAGTCCACAATGCAGTGGGAGCATGTTAACCTACAGTCAAAATGACAGAGTAGGTCCAGGTACTAACAGAGGTAAATCACATCCCTCAGGCAAAATACAGGCTAACCTTCCATCCCTGGATAACAATGCATTCACCAAGGGCTTCTGCCCTGGGTGATGGCACCACACCTTCTCAGCTCCCCATGGTTCTTTTGGGTCCTATATCCATGCCAGTGTCACAGGGGAGCTCATAATAGGCCACACAGACAGTACATATGTCCTCTGGAGAAGGGCTCCCTCCCTGACCGTTCCTCTATGAACAGCCAACCACTGGGGCCATGTATTGAATGCCCAAGGAGTGACATGCAAGTCATACTGTAGTTCCTCCCCGCAAGGAGCTACAGTGGCCAACTGCCAGCAGTAGGGGGTTTGGAGGATCCATGGCCACAGCCAGGTTTTCTGTTCCCCTTCTTTCAGGGGTGTTGGAGCAGGCAGCAACAGGTTACTGTTCGTTTCCGTACCTGGTCAGGGGAGGTCATCCTTGGTATGTATCTGCAACTGAATGGGGGCAGCGGCTGGGTGTAACAACGCCTCCATCAGGGCCGGGCCACTTTTCTGTGGCTGTTCACTCAAGGTTTGGAGAACCAGGTCCAGCCTGGAACTCCAGCCCTGCAAAGACATGGGTGTGACCTGCAAGTGTAACCCATTCTTCCAGAGCCTGTTATATTGCTCAATCCTACCCATAGCTTGTGGATTATATGGCACATGGAATCCCCCCTTTATGTCTATTTGTTGCATCCATTGTTGTACGTTTTGTCCATTGAAACGTGCTCCACTATCACTCTCAGTGGCCAGAGGGCAACCATAGAGGGCACATAAGTGTTGCAGGGCTCAGATAGTGTTGTGTAGGTCGGCCACCCTTAAAGTGTGGGCAAACAACAGGCCTGTGGTCATGTCCACAGCTGTTAGCACATGCATATAACCTTGTGACTTTGGCAGCGTCCCTATGTGGTCTACCTGCCTCCTGGTCAAGGGCACTCACCCTATCGTTACTTGATGTACAACACTGGGCAGCTCTCTTCATTTGCAGTATGCCTGAGCACATGCCAGGCATTTCTGACAAGCCTCTAAATGTCTTCCATGTGCAGGGACAGACCCCCAATGCTTATTGACGTGTTGCATCAGTTTACCTCCTGCATGTCCCGTTTTCTAGTGTAGCCACAAGGCCACATCTCATGTAGGTGCTGACTCTAACCATTGGACCTTGGCCATTATCATTGCTGGGGGTGACCAGAGTCATATGGCCTGACCCATGATGAATAGTTACCTCTTCCTGAAGACCCATTTCCCAGAGGTCTTGCCACATGTCTTGGCCCCAAATGGGTCAGTGGCTAACTAGCCACTTCTGTGTTTTCCAGGTAGTTAACCAGAAAATTAAGCCTTGATAAACCACCTATCTATTGGTACAGATTACCATAGGTGTCATCTCTGTAATGATTACCATCCATACTGCTCTAAGTTCAGCCAATCGGCTACTTGGTCCACACCCAGTTTCAAACGATATGGTGTCAGTACTAGGTTAGACTGCAACAGTGGTCCAGGCAGCAGTAGCACCTCAGCTAGACCCATCTGTGTACCATGCACCATTGAGAATGGGGGGATGCCCTTCCTTAAACAAGGCTCAGGGTCTAGGGGTGCCTCAGACCTCATGGTCTTATCTTGTATTAGGACTACAGGTTTCAAGATCTTTTGCAACTCTGCTGCTAAGGGGCTTGTACTCAGTGTACTCCACTGCTCCAAGTAGGCGCCCCACTTTGCCAAAGTGGATGTCTGTGTCATCCCAGTCTAAGGGGTTGTTACCCATGAATGCACCCATCCTGCTATTGGGTAAGTCATCTGCACGATGACTGCAGCCCATCCTGTCACACTCTCACAAGCCTGAAGGGCAGCATAGACAGCTGCTAGCTCTTTCTCTGTCAAGGAATACCAGAGCTCAGCTTCCATCTATAGTTGGGAACTAAAGCCTACTGGTGTTCTCAAGTGCTCCTTGTGCTGCCACGGACCCCATTTGAAACCATTGGTGGTCCCATGCACATCCAGCTCAAACAGGTGCCCCTGGTCAACTACCCATAGGACTTGTGCCTGCTGAGTTGAATCGCGTGGCTGCCAGGAAGGTGGTCTCAGCCACATCATCCCAATCCCAGGTAGCTCCCTTCTTTGTTAACCAATACAAAGATTTTATCATTTGAGCTAAATGAGGCACAAATGTCTGCCAATATCCCAGGAGACCCACAAAAGTTTGCAGCTGCTTCACCGTGGTGGGCTGGGGATATGCCTTAATCTTATCATTAATAGCCTCTGGGATGGCCTTTATTTTACCTGACCAGATAACTCCCAAGAATTTGGCAGATAATACAGACTCTTGGACCTTGGATTCATTGATGGCCCAACCACATGCTGCCAAATGTTGCTGCAAGAGGGGCACTGCTGCTTCTAAATTTGCAAGAGAACCAGCGGTTAACATAATATTATCAATATAATGGAATAGGCAGACCCCTTCTGGACATTGCCAGATGGCTAAATCTGTGGCAACTAGACCATGATGAATGTGGGCCTATGCACATAACCCTATGGCAACACTGTAAAAGTCCACTGTCACCCATCTCACATGAAGGTGAACTGTTCCTGCTCTCTAGAGAATGTCTATGAAGAAACATGCTTTGGCCAAGTCCACTACGTAGTGGTACTATCCCAGTTCCATTGTCAAATGGTCCATCAAATGCATAACTGACATTGACAGTACAGCTGGGGGTTACTTTATTCAGTTCCCGATAGTCCTCCTTCATCCACCAAGTTCCATCAGGCTTTCTAACTGGCCACAACGGAGAATTGTAGGGACTGTGGGTGCCACTCACTCTCTGCACCTCCTCCAGCTTTTTAATTGTCTCAGTTATCTCCATATGCGCCCCTGGCAAATGGTATTGACAGGTGGAAATAACCCATTGGGGTTGTGGCAGGTCCTGAGGCTGATAATGCGTATGTCTGCAGAGCACCAGATTTACCACACACACTCAGAGTCTGAATTCCCTGGTCATAGTTGGTAATGCCAGGCCATGTAAAATGTCCATCCTCAGAATGTATTCCAGCATGAGAGAGACATAAACAGTATAAAAATGGGGAGAAAAACAGCCAATGACAAGGTGCAGAGATACAGGATTCACTTTCACTGACTGGCCTCCATAACTGTTAATGTAAGCAGGTTTGCCTGGAAACTTATCCAGGTTCTCATAAACAAGGCTGCAATCTGTGCCAGTATCCATCAGTGCCAGCACCCACTGTACATTGGTGGGGGACCAGTGGATCACTAATTCCACATGTGGCCTCCAGGCATCTCATGTCCCCCCAAGCTGTGCACCTCGGCCAGTTCCCTAATCAAACAGAAAAGATTCTACATTTCCACCTGGCTGCAGCAAGTAGCCTGCGCCTGCACTCCAAACATGCTGACTCATGCTGCACCTGAAGGCCACCTCAGCCTACTCCTGACTTAAGTGCAGCCATTTTCCTTACAATCCTAATATCTCTTTTCACTCTTAAATTAGACAAAAGTTGTTGCTCTAAACTGACATAGAGAGGAATCCTGTTACCTAATTACAACCTCATTTGAATTTAATGTCTTTCTTTGTGTTTTTTTTTTCTTGGAATATTTTCTTCTGTTCTGTATTTTTTTGTGTTTCCTATTGTGTATATTTTATTTACTCTTTAGGGCTAACTCAAAGGTTACTTATCCTGTTAATAGTTCCCTGACAAATTTCCCTTTCATGCCACTATCATGGCAGTTGTGACAATGTAGTGTGCTAATTTCCGAACAAATGCATCTCTTTTTCTCACTACAGGATCTTCAAGAGCAGGTAGTACATTTGTCTTTATAACTGTCTTTATAAGACAGTTATAAGTAGCAGTAAACTAGGGCTGAATTAGTGTAAATGGAATGCAATGTAGCATAAGTGAATTTTACCTACTAATCATTCTGATTTTAGTCATCATAATCTCCATTATTACTCCTTTGAAAGAACAACGATTGCAGACATTTGAAAGAAGCAAGTTGTTGGAAAATAAGGTTTCAGCATTCCTTTTAAAAATCTCAGGAATTGATATTAATTTTGTTGTTTTCCAGTACCGTTAGTGAGGCATTGCTCATCCCCTGTCCCTAATTGGGGTTGCAAGAGAGGTTGGCCGTGTTTTTACATGTCTCTATAGCTGAAATAAAGTATTTGCAAAGGAGTATCCTAGCTATGCAGGGCTCATTAACATTACTAAATTCTTGAAAATGTGGTTAATTATTGAGTCGCATGTGTTGTAAGAATTTTTCTTTCTATCCATTCCTATCAACATACAGTAACTAACTCTTTTCCAACTACTACACCGTGAAAACTACTATAATATCAATAATTAAATAATAGCAGGTTTTGAGTACTTATTACATATGTGCATTGTTCCTGGAGCATTTTAATTTATTGGTTAATTTAATCCTCCAAAAACTTTTGAGTAGGTAGTTGTCATTTACATATTATAAAATTCACTTAAACTCCCATTTAATGCATTCTGGAAAATATACTTAGGAGGAATTGTATTAGACATATGTCTATTTTAAAAATAAGATTATCAATTAAAAAAAGGCTTTAGTTTTTGAAACCACTTCTAGCTGTTTATTATTTAATATAACGAAATTGACTCCACTGCCTGTTGATCTTACAGAAATGCAATATTTCCTATCAACTAAGACAGTCAATGTAATTTTTGTTCAATTGTCCCTATTTAGGCTGGGCATGGTGGCTCACACTGTAATCCCAGCACTTTGGGAGGCCAAGTGGGTGGATCCCTTGAGGTCAGGAGTTCGAGACCAGCCTGGCCAACATGGTGAAACCCTGCCTCCACTGAAAATACAAAAATTAGCCAGATGTGGTGGCACACACCTGTAATCTCAGCTACTCAGGAGGCTGAGGCACTAGACTCGCTTGAACCTGGGAGGCGGAGGTTGCAGTGAGCCAAGATAACGCCACTGCACTCCAGCCTGGGTGACAGAGGAAGACTTCATCTCAAAAATTAAAAAATTATCCTTATTTAGTGAATAATTTGTCTAAATGTTCTCAACATTTGGCTAGTTTTAAAATATGTAATATATTGTATTTTATGTGGTATTTCTATACCAGTAATACTTTGCTTTATAAAACATACCATGTACCCATACATAAATAAATTCTATTTATTTATTTATATAAATAAATAAATTTTATATTTACATATATTATATATATAAATTAATTCTATTAAATTCTATATAAATAAATTCTATTAAATAACTTTAGGATAGTATTCACGAAATGTTTTTCTGTGTGTTTACACATATACACACAAGGCAGACATGCATGTTACATAAAAACATTTAATTTAAAAGTAATTTTAAATTAAATTTACTTTAACACAAAAAAGAATTTTTCTATGTATGTAAAGCTAGTAGGAAGGAGGTTGGTATTAGTAGATGTTGTGAGATGTGATCAAATTCAGGATATTCTTTATATCAAGCTAACAGAATTTCTGATGAATTGAATATCAGTTACAAAATAATGTGGGAAACAAAAGATGACCCATTGTTTGGAGGTTTTTGTTTTTTATTTACATAATTGGGGATTTGCTCACGTAGAATAGAAGGAAAATTTTGGACATTAAATTTTAGAATTACCATGTGTACAGAGGGCTAACCAAATACATGTGCTTCCCTTGCAGTTATGCTGGGGCCATGCTATTAGGATTGGCCAATGGGATGTGGTCAGAAATGAGTTATGTCACTTTCAGCTTCCAGGCAATTAAGATGCACTGTAGTGTGTCTTTTCCTCTTCCACAGTAATTACATATTCCAGATGGTGTGACTGATAACCAGGCTTTCATCCACTAGGGGATCCTGAATAACTATGGAAGGCAGAGCCCACTCTGACAAGGGTTGCACCTGTAAAATGAATAAAAAATAAACCTTTGTACCCAGCACTTTGGGAGGCCAAGGCAGGTGGATCACCTGAGGTCAGGAGTTTGAGACCAGCCTGGCGAACATGGTGAAACCCCATCTCTACGAAAAATACAAAAATCAGCTGGGCATGGTGGCACACACCTGTAATCCCAGCTACTCGGGAGGCTGAGGCAGGAGAATTGCTTGAGCCGGGGAGGCAGAGGTTGCAGTGAGCCAAGATCGTGCCACTGCACTCCAGCCTGGCCAACAGAGCAAGACTGTCTCTCTCTCTCTCTCTCTCTCTCTCTCTCCATATATATACGTGTATATATATATACACACATATATACGTGTGTATATACATATATACACATATATACACATACTATATATACACACATATATATACATATATACATACATATATACATATATATACACATATATATATACAAACGTGTATATATATATATATATATACATTTGCAGTATTGTGCCATGGAGACTTGTGTCACTTGTGTATTGGAATAGTTAGCCTTGTTTATCCTGAAAAATAGAATGAGTCTCATATTGATTTGAAGCAAGAAGTTGCACTATTTGGGAGCAATCCAATATTCTTATAAGATAATAAACAAAAACTCTGAAATGGGGGTTTAAAATATTAAAACTTTCCAACATGCTGAAGCACATGTTTAACTTAATGAAATATTTTGTTACATGCAAGGGGGAATTAAAGCTGCTAATAATCTAACCCCCTTTATATGGGGATAACAGGAGAGTATCCTGTGTTACACAGGTGGGTTTAATGTAAGTAACAACGAGGTCCTTAGAAATTAAAGAGGGTTGCTGAGGAGTCAGAGAAGGAAATGTAATGATGGAATAATGGACATGGAATCAGGGTGCTGTGATGGTTGGTTTTGAAGATGAAAGGGGACCATAAGCCAAAGAATGCCAGTGGTCTCTGGAGCCTGGAAAAGGCCAGGAAAGGGGTTCTCCACTAGAACCTCTAGAATGAATGCAGAACCACTGATACCTTAATTTTAGCCCATGAAGACCCACTTTGGACTCCAGACCTGCATAAGTGCAAGAAAATAAATTTGTCTTGCTTAAAGCCATTGGCTTTTTAAAAGTAACTTGTTATAGCAGCAATAGAAAAAGTAATACACTAAGGCTTTAAGCCTGCCATGTGAGATAGTTTAACTTTTTAGATGACCGAAGCTTATCTGGTGTGGGCTCTTGCCCATAGGATTGCTTTTATAATGGCTGCACTGGCTGTATGTGGTCTAGTAAGCTTATGTAGGCTGCAGGAGGGTTTCAGCTTAAGACCAGGAGAGCAGCTGGAGGCTTTAGTAAGCTGACATAGATGAGACCAGTAACACCATACCAGTAATACTTTGCGTTATAAAACACACCATGTACCCATATATGAATAAATTCTATTAAATAACTTTAGGACTGTATTCAGGAAGTGTTTTTATGGGGGGTGGAAATCATTAAATATATTGCTTCTTCCCCCACATGTGCACATCCCGAGATTCTGATTTAAATGGGTCAGGTGTCACCTGGGCATGGAGATTTTTAAAGCACTCCAGATAATACTAGTGTGCAAACTAAATCAACAACCACTAAGTCAGAGGACAAAGCTGATAGTCGGGAGTCCTTTTAGGAAAGATAAATAGAAAAATATTTGCTACTTGTTGCTACAGACCCCAAAAAAGATGTCTCACATACCAATACCAGGGAGTTCTAGTTATAAATTGCTAGTTTAAGACTGAAAGAGAAACACTAGAGCAGCTGCCCTTCGACTTCAGATTTAGAGCTGAAGAAGAAACTGGTCAGTAATAAACTTTGAATTTACATAGCCAGGGGTTACATCTAAGAATGAAAAACAGTGACTAATTTTGTGGACATCAATGTGATGCAGGTTTTATAAGTGAGTGTATAAGCATTTCCTTTTTCTTGAGCAAACATGCCTGAAACTATGTGGAATTCAAAAAGGAAAGATAGAGTGCCTTGGGGAGCAGTAATATTGATCATCACTGCTCTGAGAAATACAGACTTCAAAAGTATCAACAGCAACTTTCTCAGGCATCGATTCAGAATGATTTTTCCAGTTGAAACAAATGTGTATTTGAAATGAACAACTCGGCT
Source organism: Homo sapiens (assembly GCF_000001405.40). NCBI lineage: Eukaryota > Metazoa > Chordata > Mammalia > Primates > Hominidae > Homo > Homo sapiens. Next base: position 90,623,012 of record NC_000013.11, read on the forward strand.
AAGGGCAAGAGTCATAAGACTAAGCAGGTAGTTTTTAAACTGGTCTGAATATAGAATCACCCAGAGAACTGTAAGCTTGGTGTTGCTTAAAAAGTGTCTGCCTCTTAAAAACTGACTCTTAAAGACTTTAAGATGGTCTTAATGCACAGTTCAGGTCAAGATCCACTGGCCTGGACTTTGCCATAGAAAGAGGGGGTGGCAATAGCATCTATGGCAAAGAACTAGTAATGTTTGATCCCAAGATATTGTAGAGGGAGTGTTACTAGACAGATCACTACTGTAAGGGCCAGAAAAAACACCTCAAACAAAAAACTGATTTTTTGGATATCATGGGTAGGAAAAAAATTTATCTCAAATAACTCCTGGAGACTGGGGCTGCCCTTTGCCAATTTATAATCATGGCAAGAAGAAAACAATATTTGAAAAGCCACTTTCTAAAGGAGGAGATTGTATGTGGAGTGTTCTGCTTACTCCACCTCCAACCTCCCCACCCCTGATATAAGATACGTGAGTAATGCCAAAGTGATGCTGCAGAACCTCCTTGTGAAGAAGGATTCTCCTATTTGGTTTGATTCCAGGTACAGGCGCAGATGTACTAGCAACCTATAAGGTCCAAAAGATGGTTTTCTCTTTCTCTGTTGAATGTGTACCATGAGTTGGGATGGGACGGTGTACTGGGTATTATGGAAACACACTTTAGCCTCAAGTATCAACTTCAGGCAGCTGGTGACTTTTCTAAGTTGGATATATATGAGACCAGTGTGGTAATAATCTTGTTTCCTGTTTACCATTTGAACTCTCTAAAAAGAGGCTACCTGTTATAAATTTAGCTTCTGATATTAAGGGAGCTAGTCCTTTTAGTGCAAGAGACAGGTGGTTCTGCAGTTATTAAAAATTCTTGAAACTGTCCAAACCCCAAGCATACCTCCAGCTGAGACTGACAGAAAATAAGGTGGGAGGGAGGACTTTTCTTTGGATTTCTAATTCTAAAGGTGAAAAAATATTGTGATATAATGCTTAAGTCTAATTTCAAGAAACATAAAATTTGGACTTTACTTTCTCCCAGGGAGTGTATGTCAATGAAATAAGATTATATTTCAGGTAGCTCTGCTCTTGGTATATTTTCCGTTGGAGGGTCTTTCAACATGTAGGCATTTTATTGAAATATCTTGTGTTGTCATTTACCGTCTTGCAAAAATCTGCTTTGAGATGCTGAAATGTGCCAATATTATCTGGGATAGAAAATAAAACGAGAAAATAAGCATTAAATTTGGTTACATGGTGCCTTTGAGTAGATTTAATTAATTCACTTTATTGACCCATATCAGACAGTTCCAGGAACAAAATCTAAGCTGCTCACCATTTTCTGAGGGGCCATGTTTGGTATTTCAGGAGTGGCCTTGAGGGGGAAGAAGAGTGACTTGTCTGACTGACGAATTTGGAAGGCAGAATTAACTGGGCATTTTTAGTTCTTCTTGGATTCTGTTCCAGCCAAGTATCTTCCTTTCTGTAGGTCTAGGATAAGGTTTTCCCCAGGGCAGAGAGGTGTCTTATTCTACAACTACCTTAGGACTGGGTAGTGAAGTTTCTCTAATGCCCAAGTTTGATCACTCTTGCACACAGATATGACTACATTCTCTGTTCTAGTCTTAAGAGTATTGACAGTTTTTTGGGGTCTCTCTATACCACTCCTTTTGCATTATTAGTTCAAAACCTGGGAGAAGGTGTGATTATTGATTTTTTTTGGTAAAATTTCAACATAATTAACTGAAAATTACGTATTAGGAAGCAATGATTTACTAATCACTGTATACTTCTTTGTATGCCCTGAATCTTTTTGATAGATTTTTCCGTTATCCCTAATAACAAAAGCATTATTTCAGCTGTTAGGTAGAGCTCATTATCAGAACAAAGGTTTTCATACAGATAAAGGAGTGTAAGCATAATTATTTGCTTTGTGAATACATAGTCCACTATACTTTGATTTTTTAATTGAATTTATCCTCCATCAAACTTTCTCGATCAATCAGTGAATAGCACAAAAGCAAGTGAATATCAACCTAATTAAAAATGAAATATTAATAAAACACTGTGAAGCCCTTACAGCTCTGAGAACAACTTGTAATAATTGACAAGGAGCTTTATAAATGGCCAGCTATTTGCATTTCCTTTGTTATGAACTGTTTGAAAGTATATTTTGCCATTTTTAATGACTTTTCCTTATTCAGGATCTCTTTATGTATTAGGAAAATTAGATTTTGCAATTTAAGACAGCGTCTTTTTAATTTTTTTACTTAGACTGATCAATTAGGAATTTTATACACTGCACATTAATTTTAGCTCAGGGATATCATGATGAATTTTAGTTACCAACGAGCTCTGTGGTCAAATTTTTGTGATTACTGCTGCAGTCCCATGGTCCACTTCAGTAATCTTGACCATCTTGTCTCTGGCAGTTAAATGTCACTTACTCCTTATCTTCCAGCTCTAAGAACCCATCACCACTTCTAAATTCAGGAAGGCTTTTAAAAAGCCAACTTCACCAGCAGTCATCCTTGGCCAGGGGAAGGTATCCACTCCTGGGTCTTCCAAGTATGCTGATGCTCCCATTATTAATGTATTGTTCAATATTTTCATGAAGCAAATATCCTCTCAGTATTATGGGGAACATAATTAGAGAGTATCTGAACAGCTTTTAAACAAGAAATCAAATTTAGTATTTCTGTTTACTTAAAATTTGTCTCTATTATATAAAAATGTTTTAGGCTGACCTTAATTTAAGACTACTTTCATAAACATATGCCAGTATAAAATGAAATCAACTATGAGGCAAATTTTAGGGGAAAAAAATAGAGCTGTGATTGGCAAACTTTGTAAAAAGATAGATAGTAAATATGTTCTACTTTTCCAGGTATACGTTCTCTGTCTTCACTACTCAGTAGTGGTAGCACTAAAGCAGCCACAGATCATGCATAAACAAAAGGACATGGCGGGGTTTATAAAACTTTATTTACAAAAACAGACAGGTGGATTTCACCTATAGTCATAGCTGACTGAACCTGTGCCTAAGGACAAAATTCTACTTGGACACTTAAAAAATATTATTTCTTCCCAGACATCAAGACAATGGGAGAATATGATGGTCATTTAGAAAATTGTTAATTAGAAGACTAAAAGTATTTTGAAGAATAATCCTTCTTCATTCATTAAATTATTTATGGAATTTGTCATTTTGATCCTTAAAATAGAATACTTTAAGGATATTAAAGTAGATATTGAATATACTATTGTCAAAAGTACATTTGAGAATGTTAAGCATTATTGACATGTTTCCTTCTTTTATAGACCATTAAAATCAAGCTTACAATATAAACCATTGAACAGAAGTTTATTGCCACTGATTTTAAACTGAGGTAGAAAATATCTTTTCTGATGATAATGAAGTATGATAGTTAGAAAATTCAGTGAAAGTAGTTTTTTATGCCTCTTTAGAATGTCTTGAGCAGCACTTGTTTTTGTCAAATGTATTGTAATAGCACTGTTCCAATTGAAATTTAAAAATAGCCTGGGAAATATAGAAAGATACTAGAAGATCATACTTTAGTCTTGTTTTTATATCTACCCAGCTTTATGAAAATACCCATGTCACTTAATACTTGTTTTTCTTGTCTGTAACAATTATCAAGAAGTATTGGAAGGTGCTTTTTAAAAAGCTTTAGATTTTACAAATGACAATATGTATTGATTGACCAAGTGACAGAGAGAGGAACACTTAGAGGTTTTTTGAAAAGACCAAGAAGGATTGATCTTAAATTACTATTGTTTCAAAACATATATAAAGGGAGCATTTTTCAAATTAGCATTGACATTTAGACTGAAGTTAGATCTGTCGAATTAATTCTGGGTCTTTGTGCCTGTAAAATTCCAAAGTGTTCCAACGAAAATGGGAAAAAAATCAGTAAGTGAAAATAAATACTTGGAAACATTTGTAATTGACATTTTTTCATATTTTATGTGAATATGTAATAGGCATGACCTTGGGGACTAAATTGAGGAGGATGCAACTGCAGCTTTCACTACTGTGAAGATTTCTGCTTTATTGTTACTTTTTAAAATAGCATTTTGTTTCACCTATAACATTGATATAAAATTAAGAGACAATAGGAAATAACTTTTAGACTTGGAAATTTAATAAGGCAAACTGAAATTCCTCTTCTGGTCCTTCTAGCTCGTATTCTTTTTCATGAAAATCCATGAGAAGTGGTAAAGGAGTAAATTTAACCTTTAATGCCAAGTCAATGCAGTGATGGTCATCAATACAGATTCATATTTGTGTCAAGTTAAGGCTTCATTGGACTTCAGATCTTACTGGATTTCAGAATTAGTAAGTTCTGTGTGCATCTTCTGTTGCCAAAAGAAAAAAATAAGTTTATGGCTATCTATCTATCTATCTATCTATCTATCTATCTATCTATCTATCCATCCATCTATCTATCTACTTCTAGGAATAAATTAGCTATTAAAATCATTTTTACAATGTATACCACTTTCCTTTGTTCTGGCTTGTCAAATTTATTTATTTACTTATTTAAAAGACCCACATTTCAAGGGATCTTCCTTATAATCTGGAAAGATATATATTTGCAATATATATTAAAAATTATAAAAATGTCCATTTTCTTTGACCCAATACTTCCACAATAAAATATTCATTTTTGTCCTAAGAAAATAAATACAAATGTTTATTTATCAAAATATTTATTATAGTAATAAAATTTTAAATTTGAAATATCAAAAATATTCATTAAATTATGGCTCATGTAAATGTTATAAGCTGGTATTAAGTATACTGTTTTCTAAACAAATTTTATAACAAGAAAATTCTCACACTTTAAGTGGAAATCATGTTGGAAAATAGCATACGAAGTATACATAGTTGTCACACTGATTCTCTGTTGGTGATACAGATGTCTTTCATAATGATGAATCAGCATCTGCAGCAACACCCACTAATGAGAGCAAGAATTCAGACTTCTCAGGGTGGAAGGTCATGGCAGTCCCAACCTGGAAAGCCACCTAGGTCAGCAGAAGTGCTAGTGAAAGTTAGTGGAGGTCTAGAATTAATAATAGAAGAGAAAGATGATCTGTGTAAATTAGGGCCCAAAGTCCATTGCAGAAGTATAGATTGCAGCTTGTTACAAATTGGCCTTCATTTTGTCCTTAATAGGTGTTAAGGCTGATTTCAAGTTTGAAGACTCAGTAACATAGCAAATGAGAATGGACACAAGCAGGTCTTGGTACAAGGAGTAGACTCTAGCAAACACGTCTGGTCTCATATCGCATTCCCTTAGCTGATCTCTGGTATCAGTGGCAGATGTTGGATAGTTTTATTCAAGCTCAGACTCAACTCCTACCTCCCAACTCAGGGACTCACCCCATATTTTTGCTTTCTGATGTGGGGATCTACACACAAATGCAGCCCAGAAGCGTTGGAAAGTTGCAGCCCTCAGAACCAAACCTAAATCCGTGAAAGAAAGGATCTGGCAGAGAGGAACCTCACCTGACGACCCTACAGTCAGATATTTCTGGAAGGTATTCTGTATAACTCTCAGGGGGCCTACAAGAGAATTAGTCCACATTTCCTACAGCAGCATCTTTGAAACAAACCCTTTTCCTTTGGCTTTTCTTCCTCTTCTCTCACTCTCCCCACCCTGAGGTCACTTCAGCATGCCACCTAAATCCCCTCCTTGTCTCAAGCTCTGCTTTTGGGGAAACCCAAGCTAAGATAATCTCATATACATTATATGTGGTTTTATGACCTTCATTCGAATATTGGATAAAGATAGTATAAGGCTATAGTCCCATTTACTATAATAGATGTGAAAATTCTAAATAAAGTACTATCAAATTAGATTTAAAATGATCTGATGATCATTGTCCTGGAGTTATTCCAAGAATAAAGAGATACCAAAATATAAAGACGAAGATCAAAGAGTTATTCTTTTAAGTGATATAACCACTCACGCCTCTAAGAGACCTGACGCAAAAAATGTTTCAAATAAGCCAGTACAGGAAACTTGCTGGACAGAAGATTAAATTATGTTGGCACAGTTTTTATATACCATGAACATTAGAAAATATAATTTAACAGTTTGGATTCCTACTGTAGGTTATATTTATGAATTAAACAAAGAAGGAAGACACAAGACCTTTATTGAGAAACATTTAAAACTCTTATAAAAGACAAATGTTAACAGATGGTATTAATTTTAAAGTGTTAATTTTGTCTATTTTAATTTATTTAGTCAATCAAATCTATTCCAAATCTAGCAAGGTATTTTAGAGATCTTGGCAAACTGAATTTGAAGTTTTATAAAAAAATAACAGACACATAAGCTGGAAATAAGAACAAATCAGAAGAACTTTCCTTCCAGATAGGAGACATGATGCATAGCTGTGGAATAAAAACAGTGTTAGATAAACAAAGGAAGAAACATACAGATAATGGAGCTGAAGAGAAAGCCTAGAACAGAATGGTATGCATGGAGATTTGTATAAGATCACTGATCAGGGTGGAGCAAGGACAAATTAATGGTAATGATGAGAAAACTGGCTTCATCTAAGGGGAGAAAAAAGTCTGACTTCTAACACAGACACAGGAAAAAGTTCAAAAATTTATGACCTGAAATGAAAAGCTGAAACTATAAAGCAAACAAAAAATCAGGGACATATACACAACCGGAGAGAGAGAAAATATTTTGATTAGAGTTTTATTTTCAACCCAGTATGCTATAAAATTTTAAAAGAATGAGAATAAGAGAAATGATTGTGACATCTGAAAGTAGTAAGGATGTAATAGTTAAAATATACCAAGAAATCCTGAATCAACAGTAAGAAGTCAGGAAACCCAATAACAAAACAGATAATGGATGAGAAGTTGATTACAGTGACAGAAACCTAAATGAAAAGGAAAAAAAATGATGCCTAACTTCACAAGTAATGAAGAAATTTGAAAATTTAGCCCACCCACTTTACATTTTTCTATTTTTCAATATTTAGAAACAGCGTGTTGCTGAGAATATGGACAAACAAGAATCCTGTTGGTCACGATACAAAATACTGTATCCACTCTTGAGAACTTAATGAGATTAGATGTAAAACCCTAGAATTTAGCAATCCCAATACTAGGTATTTACACCAGAAAAATATTTTCCATGAGTCTTTTGTCAAAGCATAGTGGAGAGAGAGAGTTGGGGGCAACCTCAGCGTCTTTAGCCAGAGGAACCGCCAGGTTCAACATGGTACATATCCATAATTGAATATGAAGCAGTCAGAAGCTATGAACTAGTTGGAAATACTGCAATATACCTAAATCTCAAAAGATGTTGCATGACAAAATAACAAAGCACAAAACAGTACATACTATATGTTTTCAGGGAATTTTTTAAGGGGATGTATTTATCTAGTACATACTAAATGACTGGTTTTTAGGGAGGAGAGGCAGATGAGAGTAAATAAATACAGTAATTAAATAAAATGAGCAGAGCAGTGCACTAACTGATGTTGATTGGTATGCCATTGTTTGATTATCGGGAATGTAATTTTGTCAACCTAAGGATGAGATGTGGGAAAGAAGAGGTTAACAACAGGAATCATCAAAACTGGTGAAAATAAGGCATCCGTACACACCTACACTTTCTACAGGGCAATATGCAATCTTAAGAGATTCTGTATGTTCACAGAAATAATCAAATGGTAGACAAATTTTCATCAAAGAGTTACATAGAATTGCAAGCATTTGGGAAATTAATAATAAAGGGATAGTTGAGCAATTTATGGTGTGTTCACTTAAGGTAATGATATAAAACTTTTAAAATGATGTTTGTGATTATTGTGCAATATGATAGAAAATACTAATATTTATTCAACCGTATACTAATATAAGTATTTTACATATTTTATCTCATTTAATCACAACATTTCTTTCAAGTCAATTCTATTATTATTTATATAACATAACCAAGTCTTAGAGAGGAAAGAGCTTCAATTTCACGGAGATGCTAAATAGCACTTCTAGGACTCAAAACCAGGACTGTCGTGGAATTGGTACTGTATAACGTAAAGCTCCAGGCTGATGTCTGTCCTTCTGATGTCCGTATTCTTTGCCATTGGGCATAGTTTTAATGTTTGAATCTAGAGATATATAACTCTTTTAAGGATCTTCTATCATAATAAATGTTTACATTGTAAGCTCTGCAAGGGCAAATAACATGGCTAAAGTATCTGCTGCTATTTCCCTACCTGCTTAGTACTGTGAGTGGCAAGTATAAGATACTTAATACAATTGAGTGAAAGTATGAAGCTACTACTACTTAATACAATTGAGTGAAAGTATGAGGCCACTACTGCTGCCACTACCCACTATTACCAGCTTACATATATACATGTACACACAGGAAAAAGACTTAGATAAAATGTGCCCAAATTCTATCCCTGTGATTATTGTTTTAATGTTCTACTTTACAGTTCTCAGCCTTTCCTAAAGAGTCAGTGGGTTTGATTCACCAGATTCTGAACTCTAATGGGTGAACATTATAAAAATGGTGTTTCTCAATCTTCACAAATCTGTATGTATTGACTATAGTAATCATGGCAACTGAGATATTCTGTTGAATTTGTGGCATGCATGTGTAAGCAGCTTCATCCTTTGCAGAAATAATTTGTATATTTAGAAAGTGTGATGATATGTGGTCATCAACATTCACAGTAGAGCATGTAATTTGTTAGCATGAATGGCATTTTTATCTCTATTGTTGTCAGTTTATTTATAACATCTATTTGATCAGTAAGCAGATACTGAGTTAGTTGATTAAAAACAAAGAGTAAATCTGGATTATTAAGCAATCTAGAAAAGAAAGTTGAAATTCAAACTTTTCAAAATGAATTCTAATATATCCTTGGAGTGGGTGCTAAGTAGAGAATTTCGATTTTCTCCTATCTTTTTTCAGGGCAGCCTTTGAGATTTGACTTTTTTTCTTCTTTCAATGTCTAATTGAACTAATAATGGAAATAATTTTCAATTGGGAAAACCTATCCTATCCTAAGGTTTTACCATTTTTTTCCATCTTAAAGTCAAGAATTTGTTATTGCTTTACCTTAACTCTGCATTACAAGTGAGAGTTCCACTTACTAAGCACTACCCAACCCACGAAAGTGGTTAGAGATTGGTTCTAATGAGGCCAGGGTCAAAGTAAAGCTGCATACATGCCAATTAGCTTTAGGTCCAGAAAAATATTACCCCATGAATGCCCACTGGGTTTCCACCTGGGCCAAAATTCTTAAGATGGAATTAGAGAATGCAATGACTCAGCAGAAACTTTACACCATTCGCTGATGCTGGGGGGATTTCAGTTCATGTTCTTTTGCGTGCTGGCAAATATCTCTTTTTTTCTTAAATAAAAGAAACATGAAGTTGGTTTGCTTGTGAGTTGGATAGGTATACATTGGGAAATGCAAGAGATAAAATACTTTGCAAAATGCATTGCAAATGTTCTTTGCTCCCTACCATAGAATCTCAGCACCATGTTAATACATGTGTGGCCTTAGATAATACATGTTTAGGCATTAACAAAATACAAAAATTCAAGTTTCTAAAGAGTATACGTGAAAACTACTTCTTCGTCTCTTCCCTGTCTCCAAGACACAGTTTTTTCTCTGTAAATTTAACAATAACAGATGCTTACTAACTTTTCTAGAGAAATTTGTTGCATGTAGAAATATACAGTATTATACATTTATTTTTCGTCCCTCTTTCATAACAAATGATTTTATTTTTTGAATTATTGATGTGACAGTGTTGAGAAACTTCCACCTTCCCCAAATAATTGTCAAATAATTTTATAAATCTTATGCCATGTGACAAGCTTTCCACATTGTATTTAAAAATTATAATATTACTTCGTACCCCCAAAATATACCCAATTATAATTTGTTGGTATATAATAAAAATTTTTAAATTAAAATAAATTTTAAAAATCAGGGTTCCTAAGGAATACTGTACATATAGTCACCTTGCATTTCCTAGTAAACTGTGGTCCTACACAGATTAGTCTAATCACTTTTCCTAAGGACAATATTTTATGTAGGTGGAGTCATATTACATAGCATTTCAGCTTCTTTTTTATGAGATTTAACAGCCTCAATTCTTTAAATTGTTTAATATATATCATAGTTTGAATGCCCTTTCATTCTCTACTTTGAACATGTAAAGAAAATTTGACACCTATAAATATATACAATATTATTTCAAATATTATTTGATTAGCACAAAATAAGGCTAATTTATCATTTCTCTTATACCCAGATGCTTTGTGTTAGAGTTATCTTGTTCTCTAGCTGTGCCCCGGATGAAAATGTCTTCCTTTAACGCTATCCATCAAGACTCTCATGAATTAATTTAAAAGGCAATCTGAGCCATTACTTACAATTGTGTAGGTTGTACATTTGAATGAAGATGTCTAGCCCAGAGGGCAGTCAGGACCGAAGCTCATCCTCACTCCACTTTTCATTTTTTATTCTGCTGTACAGATGAGTGTATTGTAGGGAGGAAACTCTTTTTGGAAATGAAATGTAGTCCACAGTGCTGTGTCATCCCAGAGGGGTTTGTTAAACATTTTAAAATGTGGCAACACAATTTTACTGTTTTTCAAATTAAAAGGAAAATCCATTTCTCCGACCTTGAATCTTGACGGGCTTGTATATTGCTTTGGCCAATTTAGAACGTGGCAAAGGTGACATTTTGTGAGTTCAAGGACTTGGGCCACAGAGATTTTGCAATTTTTCACCTTGCCCTCCTGAATTACCATACATGGAAAATCACCATATATGGAAGCCAGTTTAGGCAGTTGGAGAAGAGAGGCTACATGAAGGTGAAGCCAGCTGCCTTGGGCAACAGCCAGCACCAATTGTGAGAGCTGAAAAAGACCATCTTGAACTTCCCAGAAGTTCCATCTGGAGCTTTCAAGTTCCAGCTTGAACTTCAGCCCAGTTGAAGGCCAGTTAAATGCCTTCTCAAGAAGAAAGCCAGGTTAACCAGCTGAGGAATTTCCCAGCCAATCCACAGAATCACAGGATATTGGGTGTATTTTTAAGCCCTAAACTCCCAGGTGGTTTGTTTCACAGCTATAATTAATTGACACTGGTGTCTTTTACTAATCTTTATGTCAAACTCAACATTCAAGGAGTGAGGTGGAACTTTTTCTAATTCTCAGTATAGCACCAATACTGTAAGTCAGAATAACATGCAAGGAGTTAGAATATATTCAAATAGTATGAATTTTAGCTAAGAGCATCAAAAAGAATGGCCCTTGAGTGACTGATTCCCCCAGATATCTTGTAAGGAGATAGTAATCTTATTTCCACATAAGACGGGATCTCATTCTCGTCTCTACTAAAAACACAAAAATTAGCTGGGCATGGTAGCATGCACCTGTAATCCCAGCTACTCAGGAGGTTGAGGCAGGAGAATCATTTGAACCCAGGAGGCAGAGGTTGCAGTGAGCTGAGATCGCACCACTGCACTACAGCTTGGGAAACAGTGAGACTCAGTCTCAAAAGAAAAAAAAAAAAAAAAAAGACACTAATAGCATTGAGTACACACTCATGGCATTGAGAGAGAGCAGAAACGCTGCTAAAACTTGTATCAAATGTATACTCTTAGACTTGAACAAGACCCTTTTGGGTCTTTGTGACTGGGCTTCTGCCCAAATAAAGTTGTTTTGATTGAAGAAGAACATTCTATTGTGCTTGTTTCCATAATGCCACAAGACCACATGGAAAATCACCTTTTTGGGTGGCCAAGAATATGCCATACTCTCTTGGAATGTAAGTATCATGAACATACTCAAATAGAAACTCACATAAATTTAGCACAGTTATTATAACAGTGCCTTGACTATTAACTGGTAACAAATTGTGTGTGTAACAGTATAATACATAAGTTAGAATTCCTTTTCTGTCTTTTTTTTGGATTTGGTATTTCAAAACATCAATTATTCTATTTTACCTTTTATCTTCTTGTGAAATAATACTATTTAATCCCTATAAATGCAAAAACTAACACAGCTTAGTAGTAATATAATGCACTTGTGACAGTTGTGTGTGATCTGATATTTTCATATTTGTCTATGAATGTCTATAATTACAGTGTGTCTTTAAATATATTTTGAATATTTCCGAGTAAAGATACCAGACAAAGGAAGTATTGAGCTTATGAATAAATAAAAAGTAAAGAATAAAACGTAAAAGGATATTTAAAAGGAAACAGCAAAGGAAATACAAAATGGTTACATAAAATAACAATGTTAAAAGCTTTTGAGGAATACCACATTATTTGGAAATGTTTATGTAATTTTATGTTAAAATTAAATTAATATATTTTATTGCATTTTTCTCCCAATGTTTTTACTGCAAAACTAATTGGAAACACTGAACTATTTTTCTCTTTTAGTTGACAGGACATAAATGTGAAATAAAAGGCTTTTGATACATTTAGTTTTCTTTCTCAAAAAATAAGCTTATTATATATACATAAGAAGATTAAAGACATGTCAGAAAGCTTTTTGGAAGCCCAATGTAATGACAGACTAGGGTAACATCCACAAAGGAATATTTAGCCTTTTTCTGGGAAGGAGAAATACATGCCTATTATCAATAATACCATTGAATTACCAAAATTAAGGATTCTTAATTAGTTTGGAGTTTTGTCTATTAACTTTGACTGAAAACAATACTCAGAATCACAAAAATCTTAAGGAGGAAAAGTAATTTTTAAAAGCCATCTTAGCAATAACAACAGCACAAAAAGACCCTGCTCTTGATAAGAGGCCTTCTACTGTGTTGAGTATGGAATTCGTTTCATACTTGTGTTTCTGTTTCTTGTATTTGTGTTTCTGTTCTCCTTCTGTTGAAGGAGTCTAGGTCAAAATATACAAAATATACACTCTACCTTGTCCTTTGGATACAATCAGCGTGCCAGAACCCAAGCATAGCCGTCTGTTCGAGTTTTGATTTGTTTTTGTGCATGATTCAGCACACAGGCACTGTGGTTAATTCTTAATATTTTTTTTTGACCATGGAATTTTTAGTAAATCACTGCTAGTGGTGGAAGGATGAGTTAAGTTCATCAGTTGCTTGTCTCCATTTAATTGTTAATCATGTTTTTATTTTTTCTCCAATTTTTTTGTGCTTATGCTTTCATTCTAGAACTTTTTTTTCAATTATTATTATTCTAGTTCTTAGTTTCTAAATATGATTTTTCTATAACTTGTCTTGGGCTATTGATGTTTATTGTGCATTTTACCTGCTTATTAATTTGCATAGTTAAAAAGGCCTGTTGCCTTACTAAGAAATTGGTTTGGCTCATTATTAACATTACAGTTTTCACTGTGCAGACTAACTAAACTTCATTCCATCAAAAAATTGTACTGGCTCGTGCCTGTAATTCCAACATTTTGGGAGGCGGAAGCAAGAGAAGGGCTTGAGGTCAGGCGTTTGAGACCAGCCTGGCCAACACAGTAAGAGCCCATCTCTATAAGATAAAAATTTACTAGAAAACAATATATAATAAAAATGTCCTAATAACTGTGTCATGCACACATGCACTTTCAGATTTAATTTTTCCAACTCCTCTCTGAGATCCTCACAGATGTTGAAAGGATAATATGAGATACAAAGTTCTCCCACATTGACATGAAAGTAAGTGGCCAAACTAGTATTAGAATTCAGAAGTCATAACAAGCATTTTTATCATTCTACTTTGTCCCTTTGCTCTCTACAGTCATTGATGCAGGATATTTCTGAAGATGGTACAAAGGACATTTAAGCTAGAAATTAAAATTTATAACAGCCCACATTTTATTTAGAATAAGTAGGGGTGGCCGGTCACAGAGGCTCACGCCTGTAATCCCAGCACTTTGGAAGGCTGAGACAGGTGGATCATCTGAGGTCAAGAGTTCAAGACCAGCCTGGCCAACATGGTGAAACCTCGTCTCTACTAAAAATACAAAAATTAGCCAGGCATGGTGGCGGGTGCCTGTTATCTCAGCTACTCAGGAGGCTGAGGCAGGAGAATCACTTGAACCCGGGAGGCAGAGTTTGCAGTGAGCTGAGAATGTGCCATTGCACTCCAGCCTGGGTGACAAGAGTGAAACTCCATCTCAAAAAAAAAAAATAAAAGAATAAGTAGGGGTCTGGAATGGGCCAGTACAGATGATGAGGCCAGTCTGATTAACATGTCTATCTGGGACAGTTCAGACAACTTGTCATCAGAACATGAGGAGCACAGTCAGTGGTGCCTCTGAACCTGAGACTGTGTATACAAAAGTAGAGTTCTTCAGAGATGAAAAAGAAGGAGAAATACCCTAAGAGTAAAACCAGTCCAAAAAAAGTGGAGTGTCAGTAAATGCAAGCCATAAGTCAGCGAGAGATGACTGGCCATACTCTGTCCCAGTGTTCAACTCCTAGACAATGCCCTCTGGGAACCAGAATCAGAGAATGCCATTCTGCCATCTTTTTAAAGTGTACACTTATTCTTAAAAAGGATTAACCTATAGATTTTAGCAAATATGAGTGATTAAAATAAAGAATATAATAATCCTAGCTACTATTCCAAGACATTTTAGAGGAAGTCCTTGCTAAAGTTCTAAACTCATTTTTAAAATTCCCTACTAACTTATTTAAATTCATAAACCTTTCATTAAAGAACTTTTTTGGATAAGCTGACAAAAAGTGTAAGTTAAGTCTTTTCAGTTGATGGTCATAAAAGCATGAGGAAAGGAAAATATTTTGGGTGGCTCTATGTTAGGAGAGACAAACACTGCATTGAAGATAATGTAAATGTATGAGACAATTTAACTAAGAAATACAAAAATAATAAAAGAGAGTCTGACAAAAGATGCAATCGTTCCAAATATTGATTAGTCTCAATGTTGAGCATATTCAAATTTGGCAGGCATTACCTTTGCACTCTGAGCTATACAATCTCTAGAGCTATTGATTTTTCAGGAACCCCATGTGGCATCACAAAATGGCAAAATTTGGCAAAATGGTAGGTCTATCAGTTGGTGACTGTTCTAAACCATTAAGTTATCAACTAATTAGTCATAGCAATTATCACACCATTTAATGTAGCATTAATTACTGTGAATAATGATACATTAACTTTAAATAAAAAGTATAATATATGACTCATAATAGCAAGAGGATGGGATTGATAATTGAAAGTGTGGTTTATTATGATATACTCAGCCTTTGATGTATGCAAATACGTATTCGAACTCCATCAGACAAAACTTAAAGAGGAAAGTTTAAAAGAAGTGGTCACGAAGAGACCTTAGACAAATGAAGAATATGCTCTCTAAAGGGACAAACTTCGGAATGGCCCTCTGCCTGAAACTGTTTACTATTTCCCTGACTAATGACCAAGGATAATAGGGCCTCTAAGAGCTCTAAGAGAGCAAACTAACATTAAAATAGACTGATTACGATGCAGGCAGAATACACTCTGAGGAGTCAACCTCATTGAAAAGTCATAATGGTCAGAATGAAGTTGTTATTGGGTCAGCAGTCAGCCGGACCTATTCTAGCCCCTGGGAGGTACACATGGTGCAGTTAGAGCCTGCAGAGTAAATGTAGAGGTAACAGAAAAAAAGAAACAAAGTAAGAAATGTAATTACTTAAGAAAATTCCTGAAGCATCAAAAGCAGCAATAAGAGCACTAATAAGACAAAGTGGGCCGGGTGCGGTGGCTCACACCTGTAATCCCAGCACTTTGGGAGGCCGACTAGGGTGGATCTCCTGAGGTCAGGAGTTTGAGACCAGCCTGGCCAACATGACAAAACCCTGTCTCTACTAAAAATATAAAAATTAGCCGGTCATGGTGGCGCACACCCGTAATCCCTGCTACTCAGGAGGCTGAGGCAGGAGAATCACCTGAACCTGGGAGGCAGAGGTTGCAGTGAGCAGAGATCATGCCACTGCACTCCAGCATGGGCCACAGAGTGGGACTCCATCTCAAAGAAAAAAAAAAAAAGACAAAGTGATACAGAAGTTTTAGTTCAAATTAATGTTGATGCCACCATCACACATCCAGAAAATGCAAGGTACAAGATGACTTTCTTAATGCCATATGAAGACCTCCAGTGGTACACTCCCCAACGAAACAACCAGCATAATTGTTTTTTAAAGAATAAAATAAAAATTAAATAAAGTTTCTGGAAATTGTCCTAAAGGGATACAGCAAAAGAAGAAGAAAATGTTATTCAAAAAGATCTAAATTTTCATAAGAACGGGGAGTCCATAGCATTTTAATCACAATCCACTCCTCCCCCTTCCCTTTCATCTCAGAAAAATGGAAACTCCATTCCAGGCAAGAACCAACATGGACATGAGGCTCTCTCTTTCTGCAGCTCCTGGTCAAAGGCTATGTCCCTGGGAAAGTCAGTCCACCAATATTTTACAACCTTCCCACATTTTTCTCCCCACATTTGTGTTGCAGAAGTTCTATTCCAGGCCAAAGCTAAGGAGTCTTGAGTCTGGGGCTCTCGTCAACATGCTATCCCCAGTCATCTGTGTCCTGCTCATTTGTAAGGTGGAGATTCACACTGGCAAGGGAAGCCAAGACCAGAGTCTGCAAACCCCATCCAGGCCTCTGCTGGTAAAGATATGATTCTGAGGGAAGTAGGCCACTGTCTCCTATCCCTACTCCAGAAGAGTGGCACAATGTTCTTCCCAGGGAGAGAGGCAAGCTGTAAAAGAACGCCAAAGTTCCCCTCAAAGGGATTGACGTTACTCTACATAGACTTTGAGGAAGTTTAAACCGAAGACTGCTGTTGAAAATATGAAAACACTGGTGGCAAGCAATTAGGGATCCGGTAACTTCATGAGGGCAATAAATTAATCTTTAGACAGCTTTCTTTCTTTCTTTCTTTCTTTCTTTCTTTCTTTCTTTCTTTCTTTCTTTCTTTCTTTCTTTCTCTCTTTCTTTCCTTCCTTCCTTCTTTCCTTTCTTCATCTCTTTCTCCTTCCTTCCTTCCTTTTTTCCTTCCTTCCTTTCTCTATTTCTTTTTTCTCTCTTTCTTTGTCTCTTTCTTTTTCTCCTTCCTTTCCTCTCTCTGTCTCTTTCTCTCTCTTTCTTTCTTTCCCCTTCCTTCCCACCTTCCTTCCCTCCCTCCCTCCCTTCCTTCTTTCCTTCCTTCCTTCCTTCTCTCTGTCTCTTACTTTCTTTCTCTCTTTCTTATTCTTTCTCTTTCTTTCTTCTTTCTTTTCTTTCTTTCTTTTCTCTTCTTTCTTTCTTTTTCTTTCTTTTCATTCATGAAGTCTCACTCTGTCACCCAGACTGGAGTGCAATGGCACATTCTTGGCTCACTGCAACCTCTACCAGCCAGTTCAAGCAATTCTTCTGCCTCAGTCACCTGGGTAGCTGGGACTACAGGCTCATGCCAACATACCAGGCTATTTTTTGTATTTTTAGTAGGGGTGGGCTTTCTCCAGGCTGGCCAGGATGGTCTCGAAGTCCTGACCTCAGGTGATACTCCCACCTTGGCCTCCCAAAGTACTGGAATTACAGGTGTGAGCCACTGCGGCTAGCCTAAAAGCTTTAGAGAGCTTAAAGTTTAAGATGGAGAAACATAGGGCCACTTGAAACTTAAAGTTTAAGACTGGATTCATGCCTGTAATCCCAGCACTTTGGGAGGCTGAGGCAGGCGGATCACCTGAGGTCGAGAGTTCGAGACCAGCCTGACCAACCTGGAGAAACCCCATCTCTACTAAAAATACAAAATTAGCTGGGCATGGTGGCACATGCCTGTAATCCCAGGTACTTGGGAGGCTGAAGCAGGAGAATTGCTTCAACCAGGGAGGCAGAATTTGCGGTGAGCCGAGATATGCCATTGCACTCCAGCCTGGGCAACAAGAGCGAAATTCTGAAAAAAAAAAAAAAAAAAAAAAAAAAAGAAACAGGGAAAGAGCTATCCCTCCTGGAGTTGGAAAAGCCTCAAAGACTGATCCTAAATTCTATCTGTACAAGAAGCCCACATTTCATTGGAGAAGTCTGTGTAGCAACTTATGTCCCAAGGCATTTTTTTTTTAAAGCAATAGAACATCAGACATTCCAAGTCCCTGGGTCTGACTCATTTCCTTTAAAGGTTCTAATCTTGGTGTAGGAGATGGTTTGAGATTGTTCTTTCAAACATCTTTGCAGTTCTGCCTCTGTTATAGTTAGATCCTGAGCCTTATTTTGAGCACAGCTCAAATGCAACTGAAGGACTTTAGAGTCTCTTTTAGCATTGCCACAGCAGCCCTCTGGCATACACAGTGTGCTGTGAGCACTTGGCTCCCATTTTCTTTTTAACATGGCATTAATGGAGATCAGTGCATTTCAAAATCATTATCACTATTATTATTATTATTTTTGAGACTAAGTCTTGCTCTGTTGTCTAGGCTGGAGTGCAGTGGTACAATCTTGGCTTACTGCAACCTCCACCTCTCAGTTTCAAGAGATGCTCCTACCTCAGCCTCCCGAGTAGCTGGGACTGTAGGAGTGAACCACTACACCCAGCTATTTCTTTTTTTTTTTTTTTGTATTTTTAGTAGAGATGGGGTCTAATTATGTTGCCCAGGCTGGTCACGAAGTGGTCCTCCAGTGATCCACCCACCTCTGCCTCCCAACAAAACCATTGTTATTATTGACCCATTCCATTTTGATCTTTATTACCACCCATGATCATAGACGCACCTTTAACAGTTAGCCATTGGTAAAATTCTTAGTGATTATGACACCACTACAGTTATGACCACCCCACTTAACACAGGCAACCATATCCCTATTGCCATTGGATTATTGTATTATCTTGTGACAAAACCCCATACTGGGGACATTTAGGAAAAACATGTCATGCCAAAACTTTCCAGAAGGCTGAGAAAAAGTAAGACTGGGCAAGAAGGGATGCTGAGTTAATGGTGTGTTACTTAACAAGTCACTGTTTGGTATCAAGAAAAATTGATTGCTTAATATTACCAGACCATCAATTACTTTTAAGGACAGTTTGTCTAGAAAAGGATGGAACATAAATGCAGTTTTCCTGTATTTCCCAGTTGTGTATGCAGGCAAATCTTGCCATGCCTCAAAAATTCAGTGACTGGGCTAGTTAGCGAAGCATTGTTGGGCTCTGCCTGCGAGTAATTAGCTGATGTCTATGCAGTGTTAGTGATGACAGAAGCTTCTGTGTCAAAGACAAACAGGCAATATCCCTGGAAACAGATTACTCTGATGATATTAATTGCTGCATATCAATTCAAATACTTTATCTCATTTGAAACTATGCTATTCACACTTTGGAAACAAAAAGACAGGTTAAAAGAGTTTCCCAAGGACAGCTAGGAAGTAACAGAGCTATAATTTATATCCAGGTCTGTCTTATTCTACTGCAGGTGCTAGCCCTTCACCCTTTATAGAAAATATATGCTGATGAATGCCTAATATAGATCTCTATTGCTGATTTATTCTAAGTTATAAACTCATATATCCATCAGACTGGTTGACATTTCCACTGAATGTGTGTCTGATATCTCAAAGTTCACACACTCAGAGTGCCACTGTTAGCATTTCTCGCAAAGTTTCTCTTCACTAGTACCTTCCACCCAGTGCGCATTCAGGAAACCTAAGTCCTATATATGATGCCTCTCACCTCCCCAAATCTAATCCATGATGAATAGATAAATCTAATATTTAAATGCACACACTACATGTCTGGGACTGCTCTAAATTGTTTACATCTATCACCTTTAACGTTTATAGCAAATAAAGTAGGCACTATGGTTATTCCCATTATTCTAATAAGGAAACAAGGCAGCCGTATTAGTCTGTTCTCATGCTGCAAATAAAGACATACCCAGGACTGGGTAATTCATAAAGGAAAGAGGTTTAATTGACTCACAGTTCCACACGGCTTGGGAGGCCTCACAATCATGATGGAAGGTGAATGAGAAGTAAAGTCATGTCTTACATGGCAGAAGGCAAGGGAGCTTGTGAAGGGGAACTCCCATTGATAAAATCATCAGATCTTGTAAGACTTGTTCACTACCACAAGAACAGTGTGGGCAAAACCACCCCTAAGGTTCAATTATCTTCACCTGGCCCCGCCATTTACACGTGAGGGTTATTACAATTCAAGTTGAGATTTGGATAGGGACACAGCCAAATCATATCATTCCATCCCTGGCCCCTCCCAAATCTTATGTGCTCATATTTCAAAACGATTAATGCCTTCCCAACAGTCCGCCAAAGTCTTACCTCCTTCCAGCTTTAACCCAAAAGCCGAAGTCCAAAGTCTCATCTGAGACAAGGCAAATCCCTTCCACCTACGATCCCGTAAAGTCAAAAGAAAGTTAGTTACTTCCTAGATACAATGCAGGTACAGGCCTTGGGTAAATATACCCATTTCAAATGGGAGCGATTGGACAAAACAAAAGGACTACAGGCCCAAAGTCCGAATTCCAATAGGGCAGTCATTAAAGCTTAAAGTTTCAAAATTATCTCCTTTGACTCCATGTCTCACATCCAGGTCACACTGATGAAAGAGGTGGGCTCCTACAGCCTTGGGCAGCTTCGGCTCTTGGCTTTGCAGAGTACAACCCCTTTTCAGTTGCTTTTATGGGCTGATGTGGAGTGTCTGTGGCTTTTCCTGGTGCACTGGGCAAGCTGTCATGGATCTACCATTCTGGGGTCTGGAGGAGGGTGGCTCTATTCTCATAGCTCCCCTAGGCAGTGCCCCAGTGGGGACTCTGTCTGGGGGCTCCAACCTCATATATCCCTTCTCCACTGCGCTAGCAGAGGTTCTCCATGAGGGTCCCACCCTTGCAGCAAACTCTTCTACCTGGACATCCAGACATATTCATACATAGTTCAAAATCGAGGCCAGAGTTTCCAAACCTCAATTCTTGACTTCTGTGCACCTGCAGGCTCAACACCATGTGGAAGCTGCCAAGGCTTGGGCCTTGCACTCTCTGAAGCCACTGCCCAAGCTGTACATTGGCCCCTTTTAGCTATGGCTGGAGCAACTGGGATGCAGGGCCCCAAATCCTGAGGCTACACACAGCAGTGGGGCCCTGAACCAGGCCCAGGAAAACATTTTTTCCTTTTAGACCTCTGGGCCTGTGATGAGAGGGGCTGTCTCAAAGTCTTTGACGTTCCCTGGAGACATTTTCCCCATTGTCTTGGTGATTAGCATTTGGCTCCTCATTACGTATGCAAATTTCTGCAGCCAACTTGAATTTCTCCCCAGAAAATGGGTTTTTCTTTTCATCAGCCTGCAAATTTTTCAAAATTTTATGCTCTGCTTCCTCTCGAACACTTTGCCTTTTAGAAATTTCTTCCTTTAGATACTCTAAATCATCTCTCTCAAGTTCAAAATTCCACAGATCTCTAGAGCAGGGGTAAAATGTCACCAGTCTCTTTGCATAGCAAGAGTGACCTTCACTCCAGTTTGCAACTAGTTCCTTATCTCCATCTGAGACAACCTCAGCCTGGACTTTATTATCCATAACTCCATCAGCATTTTGGTTAAAGCCATTCAACAAGTCTCTAGGAAGTTCCAAACTTTCCCACATCTTCCTGTCTTCTGAGCCCTCGAAACTGCTCCAACCTCTGCCTGTTACCCAGTTCCAAAGTTGATTCCACATTTTCAGGTATCTTTACAGCAGCACCCAACTCAACTGGTACCAATTTACTGTATTAGTCTGTTCCCACACTGCTAATTAAGACATACCCAAGACTTGGTAATTTATAAAGGAAAGAGGTTTGTTCAATTGACTCACAGTTCCACATGGCTGTGGAGGCCTCACAATCATTGCAGAAGGCAAATGAGGAGCAAAGTCATGTCTTACATGGTGGCAGGCAAGTGAGCTTGTATAGGGGACCTCCCATGTATAAAACCATCAGACCTCCTGAGACTTATACACCACCACAAGAAAAGCATGTGGAAAACTGCCCCCATGATACAATTAACCCTACCTGCCCCTGCCCTTGACACATGGGGATTTACAATTCAAGGTGATATTTGAGTGGGGACACAGCCAAACCCTATTAGCAACTTACCATTTTCCAGCTATGAAGGAAAAGGTAAGGCCCAGATTCTAACACCAAGGGCACTAGGAGTCTACAGAGGCTAGTCACTGTTACTGAAAAGATCCTTTGACTCTATTAAATACATCTTGACTCCATCTTCTTTAATTCATGCCCACCGTTAACAACTTAGTCCAAGTCACCATCTTTCTGAACTTCCTCAGCAACTCCTAACTAATGCCTCATTGTCTGATCTTGCCCCTTTCTATTTCATCCTTCCATCTCAATCAATATTGTTTAAAATATGAATGTGATTATGTCCCTCCCTACACAAAATCTTCTCAGAACCTTCTGTTGCCCTTAAAACAAGACTGAACCCCTTCAATATGGCTCACAAGAGAGTTCACATTCTGAATTTGGCTCATGACTACTTCTCCACCATCATATCTCCAGAATCTTCTTCAATCTAAGTGACAGGTACTTCCAAGTAGTTTTTATTCCTCAAACACACCATGTCCTCTCTCATGACAAGAGCATGCCCTCTACATGCAACCTCCCTACCCCCAACATGCCCCCTCTGTTTGGCTTCTCTAGAGGGACAGAACTAATAGGATATATACATAGGATATATGTAGGATATATCCTATTAGTTATATATATCCTATATATATAGGATATACATATCTATATCTATGTCAATATCTATATCTATATCTATATATATATCCAATTAGTTCTGTCCCTATAGAGAACCCTAATACAATAGGATATTGTATTGGGATATATATAAGATCTAGTAGGATATATATATCCTATCAGTTCTGTCCCTTTAGATAATTCTAATACGGGGGAGTGTTGTATCCTATTAGCATGATATATATATATATATATATATATAGTCCTTTTAGGATGATAGCACTGAACAGGATACAAAAAAATTCTCCCTCTCTCATAAATATATATATATGTATATATGTATATATACATGTGATACTGATATGTATATATGTATACACACATATGATACATATATGTATACATGCACATATATGATATATGTGTCTATGTATATACGCACATATACATATATGATACATATATGTATCATCCTAATATATATAGGATTTTATATATATATATATATATATATATATATATGATAAGGAGAGTTTATTAAGTGTTAACTTACATGATCACAAGGTCCCACAATAGGCTGTCTGCAAGCTGAGGAGCAAGAAGAGCCAGTCCGAGCCCCAAAACTGAAGAACTTGGAGTCCGAGGTTCAAGGGCAGGAAGCATCCAGGACTGGAGGAAGATGTAGGCTGGGAGGCTAGGCCAGTCTCTCTTTTTCATGTTCTTCTGCCTGCTTTATATCCGCTGTCAGCTGATTAGATTGTGCCCAGCAGATTAATGGTGGATCTGCCTTCGCAGCCCGGGGACTCAAATGTTAATCTCTTTTGGCAACACCCTCACAGACACACCCAGGATCAATACTTTGTATCTTTCAACCCAATCAAGTTGACACTCGGTATTAATGATCACAGCCCCTAATCCTACCCTCAACACTCTCCTACACACTTTGTTTGTCTGTTTTTTCCAATGATACTTAATTTTCTGGCTTAAACTTTATAGGAAACACTTTTCCGATCCCAGAATATGTATTCTCCTGCTTTATAAGATGCACTAGCTCCACATATCCCCATTATATCATTAGTGACTCTGAATTCTTTATTAGATGCTAAGCACCCTGAGGGCAGCAACCATGTAATACCTTGCTAGTTACTCTTTTTTCAGTGCTAGCACTGAACAGGATGCAAAAAATCTCTCTCCCTCTCTCTCTCACATGCACACATGCACACAGATGCAAGCATACACAAATACATATACATATACATATACATATACACAAATACATGCACATGTATGCATAACCACTAACACAGGGAGGCTGGCACCATCCAATAAATTTATATGGTTCTTCCAGAATATGGTTATTAGTTAGATCAAATATTCTACTGGTAGACAAACAGGTACAAATCTTATTTGGCTATCACCAACAAATGAGACATTTCCTTACACTGACATGAGAAAGTGAGCTTAATAAATATTGCCTCTGATTTGTCAAAAACTGTT
Source organism: Homo sapiens (assembly GCF_000001405.40). Taxonomy (NCBI): domain Eukaryota; kingdom Metazoa; phylum Chordata; class Mammalia; order Primates; family Hominidae; genus Homo; species Homo sapiens. The sequence goes on from NC_000013.11 coordinate 90,647,265, forward strand.
TAACATCTTATTGCCTGAAGGTTGTTTCTCTATATTTATTCAGGATCCCTCTAATTGCAAACATAGCATTGAGTTTGTTCTCCCTGCCTCTCATAAATTCCCCTATGTTGATATGTACTAAAATAAATATGTTATACTAAACTTCCAGTGCTATATTTTAAATAATATAAAGCAGCTTTTCTTAAATTAGCTGCATTTCATTAATTTTAAACATTAATGATTAAGAAAAATTCTGCTGGATTAGGCAGGCATGTAAGACAGTTCTTATCTTTTCATTTAACATTAAGAAGTATTATTTCACCCTCATAGCATCTAAGTGGAATTGTTTATTGCATGCTAAAGTATAACAAATGTATATTAAAAAGTTCAATGTTCACATATTCAAAATGAGAACATTTTGAAGTAAACATAATTATCTCAGTTTTGTTGCTAAATATTTTAATGGGATTCCACTGGCATATTCTAAATATTATAATCAGAGCATTAATCCAGATAGTTTATCTGATTGAAAGTCAATATTTTAAAATCCTGTTTCAATACAGATGATATCAAGAGAGTAACTTTCCCTTCAATCTACATAAAATAACAAAATGACAAATTAATTCTACTAAATTTGATTTGGTCTGTCTCTCTGTGCATTCAATATAGCATGCTGTGATTTCTGAAAGCAATACATTTCTAAACAGTGATTTTTATATTTTGTCAAAATTTATAGTATATTTTATGTATATCAAAGATTAAAATTAGTCACAATTTTGTTGTTGCTAAATAACATTCCTCAGAACTTTTTGAAAATAATTCAAAGTATTTAAATATTCATGGAAGAGTGTTATTCTTAACTCTGAAAAAGTCTCCATTTGTAATAGAGAAACATAGTTTTTGAATGCAATGATTAAAACATTCTGGAGAATTTCTTTTGCCTTTCCTATTCCATCTCTCATCATGTCTTGATGACTTGACAACAATTTCTTTTTTGTTGTCTCTGCCACTAATCTTGTGTCTTCATTGATTTTTGTTGCTATAAAGTAATACTTGAGGCTGGTATATAATGTGTAAAGAAAAGAGGTTTTTTTCTGGCTCGCAGTTCTGCAGGCTGCACTAGAAGCATGGTGCCAGCATCTGCTTCTGGTGAGGCCTCAAGGCAGAAGGGGAAGGGAGTCCAGAGATCACATGGTAAGAGAGAGGGAAAAGGTACTAGGTTCTTTTCAATAACCAGCTCATGGGGGAACAATCACAGAAACTAACAGAGAACTTACTCATTACCAGGAGGACAGCACCAAGCCATTCATGAGAGATTCACCCCCATAACCCAAACATCTCCCATTAGGCCCCACCTCCAACATTGGGGATTAAATTTCAACATGAGGTTCAGAGAATCAGATCTCCAACTATAGCATCTTGTTTCTTTCAGATCCCTCTAGGCACTATTTGTCTTGTCTCAAACAAAACCCTGATCATATCACTTTGTATATTTAAATTAGTGTGGTTTCCATTTGGCTACAACAGGAAGTTCAGACTTTTTAATATGGCATAAAAAGTCCTTCATAAACTTGTTTCTCACTACCTTTCCATGCAGCTTTCTGGGAACTTTATACAACTTTGAAAGTGGGATAGCTCAGAATTGGTGAATTCTGAGGCTCCATTTTAACCAGATGTATGGATACATTTCTGGGTGTTCAGCTTTTGGTCACACTAGGGCAACAGAGTTTCTATGCATTGTGTCCTTTTATAACATCATCCAAAGAAAGAAGATATGATTTTTCCTTGCATTTGTCTCCTTACCAGAAGAAGCCTTTTCATAGAAATCATACCTTTTATGCTTTCAGAAGAAAGTTTCATTGGCCAGCCAGGGTTACATGCCCATTCCTAAACTACTTACTAGTTGAAACAAATGCTAGTACAGTACTTCAATCAGTTTTAATATAATTGTGATTCATTCTCTGATGTGGTGGAGAAAACTACCTGTCTGGAATATATCGCCACCTGAACAAAATTAGGGTCAGATTCATTTGACAATAATAATGAAGGAATGGCTGTTGAGTACAGAAATAATAAGGTTTCTCAAATCCTATTATCAAATTTCTAAAAGTTTGGCAACGGGTTTCTCTGCCCACAAAACTCCTCTCTTTGCTGAGTTTATTTCTATCTGCCACTTCTTCACTTCAAATATCTGGTGTCTTATTTTATTCGTTCTATTGTTTTATGCATTTTCATTTGCAAATCAAATATTGAGACATTCAATTACATATGTCTACACAATTTGGAACAAGTATATTTAAGGTACCAAATCTTTCTGGTGAACTGACAGGTAATTATGAATTTAATGTTTTGTCTCAGTCATGTTAATTGTCTAAAATCCTTAGACTTCTTTAAGGTTGCTCCCAGAACCATCCATTTTTATATCAGGCTTCAGTTGCTTATCTTGCTATGCCTATATATCTTTCCTCTATCCCACTTCTACCTCTCCACTGGCAGCTGCCAGACCATCTCTTCTAACAAGGCTTCCCTGATTTTTCTTGTATTTTGTCTTCCTATTCAACGCTTCCCAGATACATTGCACATATTTTTGTCATTGTTGTCATGTGTTTTTAAAATTATATTCTTTTGGGCCTTATCAAACAGACTATATGATACTTAAGGACATGGATTATGTCTTTCTTACTTTATAACAATAAACATCTGTGGATTGAATGAATGGATGAATGGATGTAATGGATCTACTTCAGTAATCTTATTCACGGAAAAAAAAAACAAATCTCAAGAGTTTATGATGTACCTCTATTATTAATTTTGAAGTGCAATTAATGTATGGAGTTTGAGACATTTATGTAAAATGCTTATTAGCCCCCAATCTCTCTAGGCTATATAATGTAATAGAAAATATGTCACTTTTTCTTGCAACTTTTAAAAGGTGGTATATAATATCTAAACACAAACTTTATAATACCAGTGCTTGCCAATGCTAAAAATAGTGATTTGAAAATAACTGTTTAATTATTCATCTTTCCACCCATTAAGAACATTAATTAAATTCATTATTTCTACAGTAGTTATGCCAGGTTATTGCAATCTTAATACTACAGGCAGGTTTTCTTAAGTATATGTTAGTTACTGGCTATTACTAGAATTCCTTACCCTATATACCAGAATTCCTCCTTCTGCTAGTCTATTTTTAGATGTCTTTTATCCTTTTTTAGAATGTAATGGGATAATTACAACAACATAACAAAACAAACACAGCAAAATATTATATGTTATATATTACAAAATAATACAATATATGCCAAAGCATATTGTTAGCACTTTATATGCACCAACTCATTTAACTTCACACCACATTCTAAAATAGATATAATCCACACTTTAAGATGAGGACTGGGGCACCTTACCCAAAGTTACACAACTAGTTAGTGGCTTCGTCAGGATTCAAAAAAAGGCATTTTGCCTCAAGAGGATAGTAAATGCCTCTAATAATTAAGTTGTATATTTAGTTGAAGAGAAAGTAAGGAATAAAGTTATTATTGCACCCCAGAATGAAGCAAGAATAGAAGGCTTAGAAAATAATTAAGAGACATTTCTCTCTTGATCTTTGATGGTGCTTAATAAAACCAATTTATTTAATAATGTCACTTCCAAATTCATACACCTTCAGTGACTTCACATTACCTTCAGGTTAAAATCCAAATTCATAACAGGACATTCAAAATGACCTATAATACAACCCCATTCAGCTTTCTCAGAATTATCTCTAGGTAATATGCCAAAGCTGTCTTTGTTGTTAGAGGAATGTAAAGTAAAATGAAGAGGCACAGACTTTGACTTCAGACTGATCTAAGATAAATCGTGGCTAAATTGTTACACTGATCATCCTGCTTAAAGGTTTCTTATCACAATATTCTCATCTTTAAAAAGAAGTGTTTTTTACTATGTCTTGAGGGGTTGGGAAGATTGTTAATATGGTTTTGCTGTGTCTTCACACCCAAATCTCGTCTTGAATACCCATGTGTTGTGGGAGGAACCTGGTGGGAGGTAATTGAATCATGGGGGCAGGTCTTTCCCATGCTGTTTTTATGATAGGAATAACTCTCAGGAGATCTGGTGGTTTTAAAAATAGGAGTTTCCCTACACAAGCTCTCTTCTCTTGTCTGCTGCCACGTGAGATATGCCTTTTACTTTCGACCATGATTGTGAGGCCTCCCCAGCCACATGGAACTGTAAGTCCATTAAGCCTCTTTCTTTTATAAATTGCCCAGTCGCAGGTATGTCTTTATCAGCAGTGTGAAAATGAACTAATAGAGTAAATTATACCAGTAGAGTGGGGTGCTACTGAAAAGATGACTGAAAATGTGGAAGTGACTTTGGAACTGGGTAATAGGCAGAGGTTGGAACAATTTGGAGGGCTCAGAAGAAGACAGGAAAATGTGGCAAAGTTTGAAACTCCCTACAGACTTGTTGAATGGCTTTGACCAAAATGCTGATAATGATGTGGACAATGACATTCAGGCTGAGGTGGTCTTAGATGGAGATGAGGAACTTGTTGGGAATTGGAGCAAAGGTGACTCTCATTATGTTTTAGGAAAGAGACTGACAGCATTTTGCCCCTGCCCTAGAGATCAGTGGAACTCTGAACATGAAAAAGATGAATTAGGGTATCTGGTGGAAGAAATTTCTAAGCAGCAAAGCGTTCAAGAGGTGACATGGGTGCTGTTAAAGGCATTTATGTCTAAAAGGGAAACAGAGTATAAAAGTTTGAGAAATATGCAGCCTGACAATCCAATAGAAAAGAAAGTCCCATTTTCTGGGGAGAAATTCAAGCTGGATGCAGAAATTTGCATAAGTAACAAGGAACTGAATGGTAATCACTAAGACAATGGGAGAAATGTCTCCAGGGCATGTCAGAGACCTTTGTGACAGCCCCTCCCATCACAGGCCTGGGGGTTTAGGAGGAAAAAATGATTTTGTGGGCCAGGTTTCAGGTCCCTCTGCTGTGTGCAGTCTAGGGACTTGGTACCCTACATCCCAGCCACTCCAGCTATGACTAAATGGGGCCAAGGTACAGCTCAAGCTGTTGCTTCAGAGGGTGAAACTCTAAGCCTTGGCAGCTTCCATGTGATGTTGAGCCTGTGGGTGCAGTGAAGTCAAGAATTGAGATTTGGGAACCTCTGCCAGTCTTACAAAGGATGTATGGAAATGCCTCCATGTCCAGGAAGAAGTTTGCTGCAGGAGCAGGGCCCTCATGGAAAACTTCTGCTAGGGCAGTATGGAAAGGAAATGTGGAGTCAAAGCCCCCAGAGAGAGTTTCTACTGGAGTACCACCTACTAGAGCTGTGAGAAGAGGGCCACCATCCTCCAGACCCCAGAATGGTAGACTCACCAACAGCTTGCACCATGTGCCTGGAAAAGCCAGACACTCAACACCAGTGAAAGCAACAAGGAGGTGGGGGGCTATACCCTGCAAAGCCACAGGGACAGAGCTGCCCAAGTCCACGGGAACACATCTTTGCAACAGTGTGACCTGGATGTGAGACATGGAGTCAAAGGAGATCATTTTGGGGCTTTAAAATTTCATTGCCCCACTGAATTTCAGAATTGCATGGGGTCTGTATCCCCTTTGTTTTGGCCAATTTCCCCCATTTTGAATGGCTGTATTTACCCAATGTTTGTATCTCCATTGTATCTAGGAAGTAACTAGCTTGCTTTTGATTTTACAGGCTCATAGGTGGAAGGTACTTGCCTTGTCTCAGATGAGACTTTAGATTGTGGGCTTTTGAGGTAATGCTAAAATGAATTAAGACTTTGCGGCACTGTTGGGAAGGCATTATTGGTTTTGAAATGTGAGAACATGAGATTTGGAAGGAATAATATGGGAGGGGCCTGGCGAGAGGTAACTGAATCATGGGGGCAGGTCTTTCCCATGGTATTCTTATGATAGTGATGAAGTCTCAGGAGATCTGATGGTTTTAAAAATGGGAGTTTTCCCTGCACAAGTCTCTTCTCTTGTTTTCTGCCATATGAGAGATGCCTTTCACCTTCTGCCATGATTATGAGACCTTCCCAGACATGTGGAGCTGTAAGTCCACTACATCTCTTTCTTTTGTAAATTGACCAATCTCGGGTGTGTCTTTATTAGCAGTGTGAAAAAGGACTAACACTATTGTGTACAGGAGCTGTTACAGGAGCATCAGTCTTTTTCTGGTCCCTTCCCAGAAATTGTGTCCAAGCAGCATTCCTGAATGCAAATGTACTTCCATGGTTAGGGTACCTATTTCAAAGATAATTAATCCGTTCTCCAAAGCACTCTGGAAACCACTTCATTGCATAGTGCGTCTATCCTACTTGTGAACCATTGCAGTGTTTCTTACCTAAACTGCTTACATGATAGTTATGCAATGGTTTTCCATATTTTGCTTTTTACTTTACATTTTCATTTCTTTTCTACTATGTAAATTTTCAATTTTTTATTCATAATTTAATTTTGAAAATGAGGACAGGAGATATGGAGTGTGGGAATTTTTAAAGAATACTTAAACGTTAGACCTAAAACCATAAAAACCCTAGAAGAAAACCTAGGCATTACCATTCAGGACATAGGCATGGGCAAGGACTTCATGTCTAAAACACCAAAAGCAATGGCAACAAAAGACAAAATTGACAAATGGGATCTAATTAAACTAAAGAGCTTCTGCACAGCAAAAGAAACTACCATCAGAGTGAACAGGCAACCTACAAAATGGGAGAAAATTTTCGCAACCTACTCATCTGACAAAGGGCTAATATCCAGAATCTACAATGAACTCAAACAAATTTACAAGAAAAAAACAAACAACCCCATCAAAAAGTGGGTGAAGGACATGAACAGACACTTCTCAAAAGAAGACATTTATGCAGCCAAAAACACATGAAAAAATGCTCATCATCACTGGCCATCAGAGAAATGCAAATCAAAACCACAATGAGATACCATCTCACAACAGTTAGAATGGCGATCATTAAAAAGTCAGGAAACAACAGGTGCTGGAGAGGATGTGGAGAAATAGGAACACTTTTACACTGTTGGTGGGACTGTAAACTAGTTCAACCCTTGTAGAAGTCAGTGTGGCGATTCCTCAGGGATCTAGAACTAGAAATACCATTTGACCCAGCCATCCCATTACTGGGTATATACCCAAAGGACTATAAATCATGCTGCTATAAAGACACATGCACACGTATGTTTATCGCGGCACTATTCACAATAGCAAAGACTTGGAACCAACCCAAATGTCCAACAATGATAGACTGGATTAAGAAAATGTGGCACATATACACCATGGAATACTATGCAGACATAAAAAAGGATGACTTCATGTCCTTTGTAGGGACATGGATGAAATTGGAAATCATCATTCTCAGTAAACTATCACAAGAACAAAAAACCAAACACCACATATTGTCACTCATAGGTGGGAATTGAACAATGAGAACACATGGACACAGGAAGGGGAACATCACACTCTGGGGACTGTTGTGGGGTGGGGGGAGGGGGGAGGGATAGCTTTAGGAGATATACCTAATGCTAAATGACGAGTTAATGGGTGCAGCACACCAGCATGGCAAATGTATACATATGTAACTAACCTGCACATTGTGCACATGTACCCTAAAATTTAAAGTATAATAAAATAAAATAAAATAAAATAAAATAAAGAATACTAATAATAAAATAACATATTGAAAACAGAGAGGAGATGGTTCATTTGACCTATTTTTTTGCTATATTATAAATCTTGCCTTTAAATACGTAGAAATTTTAAAGGTGTTTTTGTAGAAAGAAATTATTGACCACTCACCATTTTCCAGAGACTATGTTAATTATTGTTATTTATAATTATTATTATAATTATTGTTATTTAATCCAAACAACCACCTCATGAGTTTGGCATTGAGTCCATGTTTAAATTCAAGGTAACTGAGATTCAGAGAGATTAAGTAACCCCTTGTATTCATATAGATGAAAACAAGTGCCCCCAAAGAAGGGTTGTGAAAAAATGGGAAGTTGATTGAATATGCACATGTGGGAAATGACAAATAAACTGTATGTAAAGCAGCATCATTTATCAGATTGAGGTCATAGCTAATGTAGGATCATTTTGTAGAATTAATAATAAAGTTTAGGTCAACGTATGGTTAAATTATGGTGAAAATATAAGAATTAAGGTGAATAGATTAATCATTATTATTACTACTAATATGTATTCAAATTAACAATTATAAGTAGAATTGTTTATCCTTGTGTCTAAGTATTACAGGATCTCTGCTAAGTACTGTACCTCTGTTATATCACTTCACACTCAAAAGTCACTGATAGTAAGTACTGATACTATCTTAATTTATCCAGCATGAAAACTAAGACAAATATTAACTAAATTGCTTGAGGTTAAAAGACTACAAAGTGGTAGAGTCAAGAATTACAATATTAAAAATGAATTTGGTTTATAGGTACTCAAAACTGGTAAATCTCAACCTATACTGCCTCGTAATACTTTAGGTTATGGTTCATAAAGGATGGCATAAGAAAATAAAATGGCAAAAAAATACGGCATGGCTTACCTGTGTGCTATATTTTACACTATCAATTTAGCCAAGGGGCATGGTTCACTTCTACTCTCACCACCAAAAATGATTATAAAATTTAACAAAGAAAACCAAAATATCTAAGAAAGAATGGGTTGGGGATGTGTGGGTGTGTACATACAATCACACATGCAAGACTATATATAAGGTTGTAAGTGTCACTGTTTAGTTTATTTGTTATAGTCATAGCATAACATGTTAGCCGACTTACTAGAATGTAGAACTCATGAGGAAAGGTATTTTCATCTGTTCAATGTTGTGGCTTCATTGCCTAGACAGGTGCTTGGAACTTAGCAAATATTCAAAAAGTGTTGAAATAAATGCGTTTGATGTAGGTGAAGTAACCATTATTTTTTTCTCTAGCATTTTCTGTATAATCCCACAGAATATGATTATGCACAGTGCTGTCATATAGTGGCTAAAACAGTGCATTTTACACAGCACTGCATTGATTTGCTGAAACCATGAAAAATGAGACAAACTATATTTAGAGTGTAGACCATTAATATAAAGAGAGGAAAGGCTGTGAGTTTATTAGAAAAGGCAATCCTAAATTTATGAAAATAAAAAGGAATATATTCAAATTTTTTTTCATTTTCAAGATGTACAGAAGAAAATTTATTTCAGCTGTGACTGGTCATTATTTAACTAACGAATAGAAGATATATTTTATCTACTCCTCAACAAATTAATGTGTACTTAGGCTCCAGGCTTGTGATTGTGTCATGCTACGTGGCCTACTAATGACCCCTAGAAATACTGCTTTTTAGTAAATGCAATATTTAAGCCAGGCATCATGCTAGTTAATTTGCATATATAATTTTATTTACTCTTCAAAATAGAACAATATGGAAAGTATTATTAATCTCATTTTATACATGAGGAAACCAGGGTTGAGAAATTCAGGTTTTTCTTCCCCCAGAACCCAGGTTCTATCGCAGTACTCCATAATATTTTGTGTAGAAATCACCTAAAGGTTTCGAAAGATCCAGGTCTGGGATTCAGCCTGACATTTGAGATTTCATCAATCTCAGAGGTGATACTGCTACTGCTGGTTGTTGACCATACTTCAAGAAATAAGGTTCTAAATCACCAAACTATATTGCATCCAAGGATTTTGTGACAGGTATGCATGTGTGAGTATGCTTCTATTCCATAAAACCTATTTATAAGAAATGCAATTGAAAACACAAGGATATCAAGAAAATCTCAGACAAATTTAAGTAGAATCAACCAGACTATCATCAATAACCAGACTATTCAATAATGTAATTTAGGTTTGGGCAATATCCATAGCCCATATCATTAACATTGATTTCAATGTCAAACATTATGTACATACACACTCTCCTATTGGTGTCATAAATAACCTATAAAAGCTTGGAGATCTTTGCATAGAAGCTCTTTATATATTGAAGATTTTTTAAAAATATTACATGCTCTTTTGCTATCAGAATAAAATACAAGCAATTTTATAACAAAAACATAAAATTATATGTTTGCATTTGTTACCACTTGCTTTCTTCCATGGCCAATTTACTTGTATTTTTGTTTATCTGTGTATATAACTGACAAACAGTTATTAAGAGAATTTATGTTGTTAACATAACAGCAAATAATAATGATTATTGTTATTTTTGAGAGAGAGTCTTCCTGTCTCACCCACGCTGGAGTGCAGTGGCACAACCGTGGCTCACTGCAACCTTGACTTCCCAGGCTCAAACAATTCTCCTGCCTCAGTCTCCTGAGTAGCTGGGACTATAGGCACACACCACGAAGCCCAGCTAATTTTTTTTATGTTTTTTGGGTAGAGATGGGTTTAACCCTGTTGCCCAGCCTGGTGTCAAATTCCTGGGTTGAAGCAATCCACCTGGCAAATAATTTTTTTCAGTGTTTGCACTATGAAGTTTTTTACTGCCATCCAACATTTTCCTGATGTATGTTGATGCATGCCTTCCATGACAGTTATAAATTTTATTGATAGGTGAAAGAAAACCCTTTCAGAGCTAAGGAAACACAAAAAACTGGCAATAATTTTCATAATTGGAGAAGCACTGCTTTAAAAATTATGACAACACAAATAGGCTAAATAAAGCGTTGATTATCTCTGTCTTTAAGACTGAAATTAATTGTAATCAAATCTCTAGTGGTGTTATATTTCATCTGTAGTAACTCAAAAACAGTTGATTTGGAAATGAAATAGTATCATAACAGTAAAGAAATAATAAAACATCACATGCATCCACAATCAAAATAGTGCATCTCATTTCTGGTTTTATAAAACACGCTTTGCTCTACATCCTCAGAATACTTTTTACTCTATTGAAATATCAAATATCAATTGTCAATCCAAGATGACTGATTAGAAGCATCTGCGTTGGCAGCACTCACGGAGAGGAATGAAAAGGGGCAAGTGAATTCAGCACCATCAACTGAAATATCCAAATTCTCGCACTGGGACTGACTAGGCAAACAAATTGATTCACGGAGAATGAAGAAAAGCAGGGGGTAGGGGCATAGAGCCAAAGGAACCCCCATCCTCAGCCAAGGGAAACAGTGAGTGATTGTGTAGATACATCCAGGAAGCCACGCTTCTCCCACACATCTTTGCAACCCGTGGATCAGGAGATCCCCTCGTGAGCCCATGCCACCAGGACCTTGGGTCCCATACACAGAGCTACGTGGAGTCTCAGCAGAGCAGCCACTCAGGCGCACACAGAGACCCAAGAGTTTTACATACTCTAGCCCTGGGATCCCTGGTGAGGTGGGCAATCTGTCTCTACATATCCCTAGGAAGGGAGCTGAATCCAGGGAGCCGATCAGCATTGTTCTGTGGGCCTCACTTTCACAGCACCTCACAAGTTAAGACCCACTGGCTTGGAATTTCAGCCAGCCAACAGCAACAGGCTGGAATCTGCCTGAGATGCGTCCAAGTTCCTGGTGGAAGGAGCAGCCACCATCTCTGCAGTTTGGTAGATCCAGCTGTTCCAGCTTGCCAGCTTTGGAGAATACAAATGGTCCGAATAAGGCAGGGTCTCCCAGAACGCAGCACAGTTGCCTTGCCAGATCGTGGCCAGACTGCTTCCTTAAGTGGGACCTCAATCCATTCCTCCTCACTGGGTAGGACCTCCCTCCCTGCCGGGGGCTTTGGCCACTCCAGCCAGGGTTCTACAGGTAGAACTCTGATCTCTCCCTAGGACGAAGCTCCCAGGGGCAGGGCTAGGGGGTGGCCACAATCTCTGAGGTTTGGTGCACTCAGCTGTTCCAGCCTGTTGGCTTTGAGGAATACAAATGGTTTGGATGAAAAAGAGTGCCTCCCAACACAGCACACCTACTCTACCAAAAAATAACCTTTCTGCTTCTTTAAGTGAGTCCCTAATCCGTTCCTCCTGACTGGGTGACATCTGACAACAGGCGTCTCCAGTCACCTCCTACAGGTGTGTTCAGGCCAGAAACATGTCAGTATGACCCTGGGAAGGAGCTTCCAGAGGAAAGAGAGCTGGCTGCCATCTTTGCTGTTTGACAGACTTCACTGGTGATACCTCCAGGTTCAGGGAAAACCAAGGCAACTGGGGTCTGGAGCAGACTCCCAGCAAACCACAGCATCCCTCCAGTAGAGTGGCCTGACTATTAAAAATAAACACACATAAAACAATAACAATAACACAACAAAAAAGACCCCATAAAACCTCATTCGAAGATGAGCCACCTCAAAGAAGGTAGATAAAACCACAAAGATGAGAAAGAATCAATTAAAAAACAGTGATCAATGTGCAAAAATTGCTAGCATTTCTATACACTAACAAAAGGCAAGCAGAGAGCCAAATCATGAATGAACTCCCATTCATAATTTCTGTAAAAAAATAAAATACCTAGGAATGCAGCTTAAAAGGGAAGTGAAGGACCTCTTCCAGGAGAACTACAAGCCAGTACTGAAAGAAATCAGAGAGGACGCAAGCAAATCGAAAAACATTCCATGCTCATGGCTGGGAAGAATCAATATCATGACAATGGCCATACTGCCCAAAGTAATTTATATATTCAATGGTATCCCCATTAAACTATTTTCTAATAGTTTAATCCTTACAGAATTAGAAAAAACTATTTTAAAATTTATGTGGAATCAAAAAAGAGTCCAAATAGCCAAGACAATCCTAAGCAAAAAAAAACACAAAGCTGGAGGCATCATGCTACCCAACTTCAAACTATACTACAAGGATACAGTAACCAAAACAGCATGGTACCAGTACAAAAACAGACACATAGACCAATGGAACAGACTAGAGATCTCAGAAATAAGGACATACACTTATAACCATCTGATCTTTGACAAACCTGAAAAAAACAGGCAATGGGGAAAGGATTCCCTATTTAATAAATGATCATGAGAGAACTGGCTAGCCATATGTAGAAAATTAAAACTGGACCACTTTCTTACATCATATACAAAAATTAACTCAAGATGGATTAAATACTTAAATTTAAAACTCAAAGCTATAAAAACCCTAGAAGAAAATCTAGGCAATACCATTTAGGACATAGGCACGGGCAAAATACTTTATGGCAAAAATGCCAAATACAATTGCAACAAAAGCAAAAATTGACAAATGAGATCTCATTAAACTAAAAAGCTTCTGCATGGCAAAATAAACTATCATCAGAGTGAATAGAGAACCTACAGAATGGAAGAACATTTTTGCAATCTATTAATCTGACAAAGGTCTAATATCCAGAGTCTACAAGGAACTTAAACAAATATACAAGAAAATACATAACCTCATGAAAAAGTGGGAAAAGGACAGAAGACATACATATGGTCAACAACGATAGAAAAAAATCTCAACATCACTGATAGAGAAATACAAATCAAAACCACAATGAGACACCATCTCACATCAGTCAGAATGGCTATTAGTAAAAGGTCAAAAAAACAACAGATGCTGTCAAGGTTGTGGAGAAAAAGGAACATTTTTACACTGTTGGTGGGAGTGTTAATTAGTTCAACCAGTGCGGAAGACAGTGTGGTGATTCCTCAAAGACCTAGAGGCAGAAATGCCATTTGATGCAGTAATCCCATATATACCCAAAGGAATATAAACCATTCTGTTCTGAAGATACATGGACATGTATCTTCATTGCAGCATTATTCACAATGGTAAAGTTATGGAATCAACCTAAATGCCCATCAATGATAGACTATAAAGAAAATATGGTACACATACACCATAGATTACTATGCAGCCATAAAAAGGAATGAGATCAAGTCCTTTGCAGGGACATGGATGCAGTGGGAAGCCATTATCCTCAGCAAACTAATACAGAAACAGCAAACCAACCCTGCATGTTCTCACTTATAAGTGTGAACTGAATGAAGAGAACACATGGATACATGGTGGGTAACAGTGCACACTGGGGCCTGTTGTGAGGGGTGTTGTGGGAGGGAGAGCATCAGAAAGAATAGCTAATGGATTCTGGGCTTAATACTTGGGTGATGGAATAATCTGTGCAGCAAACCACCATGGCACATATTTACCTATGTAACAAACCTGCACATCCTCCACATGCACCCCTGAACTTAAAAATTGAAGGGGAAAAAAAAGATTGAAAAAAGTTTGGCCAGGCACAGTGTCTCACACTTGTAATCCCAATCTTTTGGGAGGCTGAGGTGGGAAGACTGCTTGAGTCCAGGAGTTTTAGACCAACCTGAGGCCAAGGCTGCAGTGAGCTTTGTTTGCACCACTGCACTCCCACCTGGGTGACAGAGCGAGACGGTGTCTCAAAAATATAAAAATAAATAAATAAATAAACAAAATTTTAGCTAAAAATTTCTAGAAAGAAATATCAAATCTCAAAATTTAAGCAAATTCTTAATTTTTTGACAATAGTTTGGCAGAATACTCACATTAATGCAACTCATATAACACATGATCATTGGGATAAACGTTTTTCTAAGGATTGTAAAAAGTATCTGTGTATTTCCAACTTAAGAGTGGCATTAAATGTTAAAACAGGAAACTCACATTATGTTAAAGATGAACTTATTTATATTTTCTATATTGGGACATCACAGACTATTTTTGGATTATCTAAAATGTTACTCTCTAAACTGACTTTTATATTTGCTGAATATTGAAATGCTCTGCACATGGATTCTAACTTTAAAAGGTTTAAAAGTGAAAGCAAAAAATATATGAGTAATATTCATGAAATATGACAAAATAAAGCGCAACTCTTTCATTATAGTTAAAATATTTTTATTTTATTTTATTTTATTTTTTTAATTTTGTGAGACAGAGTCTTTCTCTGTTGCCCAGGCTAGAGTGTAGCAGCGCAATCTCGGCTCACTGCAACCTCCGCCTCCCAGGTTCAAGCGATTCTCCTGCCTTAGCCTCCTGGGTAGCGGGGATTACAGGCATGCACCACCATGCCAGCTAGTTTTTGTATTTTTAGTAGGGACAGGGTTTGTCCGTGTTGGCCAGGCTGTTCTCGAACTCCTGACCTCAGGTGATCCGCCTGCCTCGGCCTCCCAAAGTGCTGGGATTATAGGTGTGAGCCACCGCGCCGGCCAGTTAAAAGATTTTTTAAATAATAATGTCTCGTTTTTAAAGAAAAAAACTTTTAAAATTAAGAAAAAGTTGTAATATCTGCTAAAATAAATAAGATACATTAAGTTCAGTACTTCTGAATCACTTGCATAATGTTCAAACAAATTATCTTTAAAATAATTCTGGATAGCAGACTAACACTAGTAAATGTATGTCAAATGGCTCTTAGTTCCAGGCACTGTTCTAGAAATATTAGACTGGTAAAAATAGAAAGATCATACAGTTAGAATCAGAAAAAAATAATGGCTTCTCTCTGCATGTTTTAGCCAACTTAATCTGTGTCTGTGTCTTATTATGTTATTGCTAATATAAAGACAATGATACCAATTTCAAAGGGCCAGCATGAGAATTGAATAAGTACATGTTAACCTTAATTCTAAACAAGTAACACCCCTAAGAAAACTTACATTGTAAACACTTAACAAAACCCAAATTTTTTCTTGAACTGTTATTTACTATATGAGTATAGAAGATAGATCTTTACTTTTTCTGGGAAAAAAATAAAAATATAAAAGATCTTTGCAAAGGGTCCTCATCTTTGCTCAGGTGAGCTTAGTAAATTTCATGGCACCATTGTAAGGGCACTGAAGAAGCACAGTTGTCATCACACCTGCACCTTTGTGATTTTTTTTTTTTGGATGGAGTATCACTCTGTCACCCAGGCTGGAGTGCAGTGGCATGATCTTGGCTCACTGCAATCTCTGCCTCCTGGGTTCAAGTTATTCTCCTGCCTCAGCCTCCTGACTGGCTGGGATTACAGGTGTGTGCCCCCATGCTTGGCTAATTTTTTGTATTTTTAGTAGAGATGGGGTTTCACTGTGTTAGCCAGGGTGGTCTTGATCTCCTGACCTATTGATCCACCCGCCTCGGCCTTCCAAAGTGCTGGGATTACAGGAGTGAGCCACTGCACCTGGCCACCTTTGTGAATTTTTAGCCCTTTGCCTTCCTGCTTCGGTTACTTCATTGCTTTTTTTCAGGTTCTTGCCTTAATTAGACCAGAACTCATCAACTAACTTATGAATGCTGATATATGAATAAAAAAGGCAACAGTGTGATTGTGGATCAGTAATTTTATCCTGACTTTTTAGCATCCTCAAGATCTTAAGATGCACACTAGAATCTGAGAGGTCCTGGTCAATTGTACCATCATTATACGTAGAAATTATGTTCTGAATTCTACTTGAGTGTTGGTGACTGGGATCACAAAACCCAGGAGAAAATTTTAAGAACTCCATATTTCCTTAATTTGCTATCAGTAAATTGAAATTTATGAAACTGTTATCTGACCCTTGTGGCCAAACATAAATGGCAATTTCTTATATTCAATCTGATAAAAGAATCATCCTATGTCTTTTTGCTTAGGACCTTTGAAAGCCCTGAAAGATGTCACTGGCCATGATCTAAAGCACTTTCCCAACAGAAGACACCATGGATTAAAATGAGCAAGAAAGGAGGGAGAAGGTTAGAGAACATGTTTTCCATGCAAAAGCCTGCAGGACGGGGGGAGGAGCCAAGATGGCCGAATAGGAACAGCTCCGGTCTACAGCTCCCAGCGTGAGCGACGCAGAAGACGGGTGATTTCTGCATTTCCATCTGAGGTACCGGGTTCATCTCACTAGGGAGTGCCAGACAGTGGGCGCAGGTCAGTGGGTGCGCGCACCATGTGCGAGCCGAAGCAGGGCAAGGCATTGCCTCACTCGGGAAGCGCAAGGGGTCAGGGAGTTCCCTTTCCTAGTCAAAGAAAGGGGTAATGGATGGCACCTGGAAAATCGGGTCACTCCCACCCGAATACTGCGCTTTTCCGATGGGCTTAAAACACGGTGCACCAGGAGATTATATCCCGCACGTGGCTCGGAGGGTCCTACGCCCATGGAGTCTCGCTGATTGCTAGCACAGCAGTCTGAGATCAAAGGGCAAAGCGGCAGCAAGGCTGGGGGAGGGGCGCCCGCCATTGGGTCAGGCTTGCTTAGGTAAACAAAGCAGCCTGGAAGCTCGAACTGGGTGGAGCCCACCACAGCTCAAGGAGGCCTGCCTGCCTCTGTAGGCTCCACCTCTGGGGGCAGGGCACAGACAAACAAAAAGACAGCAGTAACCTCTGCAGACTTAAATGTCCTTGTCTGACAGCTTGGAAGAGAGCAGTGGTTCTCCCAGCACGCAGCTGGAGATCTGAGAACAGGCAGACTGCCTCCTCAAGTGGGTCCCTGACCCCTGACTCCCGAGCAGCCTAACTGGGAGGCACCCCCCAGCAGGGGCAGACTGACACCTCACACGGCCGGGTACTCCAACAGACCTGCAGCTGAGGGTCCTGTCTGTTAGAAGGAAAACCAACAAACAGAAAGGACATCCACACCAAAAACCCATCTGTACATCACCACCATCAAAGACCAAAAGTAGATAAAACCACAAAGATGGGGAAAAAACAGAGCAGAAAAACTGGAAACTCTAAAAGGCAGAGCGCCTCTCCTCCTCCAAAGGAACGCAGTTCCTCACCAGCAACGGAACAAAGCTGGACGGAGAATGACTTTGACGAGCTGAGAGAAGAAGGCTTCAGACGATCAAATTACTCCGAGCTATGGGAGGACATTCAAACCAAAGGCAAAGAAGTTGAAAACTTTGAAAAAAATTTAGAAGAATGTATAACTAGAATAACCAATACAGAGAAGTGCTTAAAGGAGCTGATGGAGCTGAAAACCAAGGCTCGAGAACTACATGAAGAATGCAGAAGCCTCAGGAGCTGATGCGATCAACTGGAAGAAAGGGTATCAGTGATGGAAGATGAAATGAATGAAATGAAGCGAGAAGGGAAGTTTAGAGAAAAAAGAATAAAAAGAAATGAGCAAAGCCTCCAAGAAATATGGGACTATGTGAAAAGACCAAATCTACGTCTGATTGGTGTACCTGAAAGTGACGGGGAGAATGGAACCAAGTTGGAAAACACTCTGCAGGATATTATCCAGGAGAACTTCCCCAATCTAGCAAGGCAGGCCAACATTCAGATTCAGGAAATACAGAGAACGCCACAAAGATACTCCTTGAGAAGAGCACCTCCAAGACACATGATTGTCAGATTCACCAAAGTTGAAATGAAGGAAAAAAATGTTAAGGGCAGCCAGAGAGAAAGGTCGGGTTACCCTCAAAGGGAAGCCCATCAGACTAACAGCGGATCTCTCGGCAGAAACTCTACAAGCCAGAAGAGAGTGGGGGCCAATATTCAACATTCTTAAAGAAAATAATTTTCAACCCTGAATTTCATATACAGCCAAACGAAGCTTCATAAGTGAAGGAGAAATAAAATCCTTTACAGACAAGCAAATGCTGAGAGATTTTGTCACCACCAGGCCTGCCCTAAAAGAGCTCCTGAAGGAAGTGCTAAACATGGAAAGGAACAACCAGTACCAGCCACTGCAAAATCATGCCAAAATGTAAAGACCATTGAGACTAGGAAGAAACTGCATCAACTAACGAGCAAAATAACCAGCTAACATCATAATGACAGGATCAAATTCACACATAACAATATTAACTTTAAATGTAAATGAACTAAGTGCTCCAATTGAAAGACACAGACTGGCAAATTGGATAAAGAGTCAAGACCCATCAGTGTGCTGTATTCAGGAAACCCATCTCACATGCAGAGACACATAGGCTCAAAATAAAAGGATGGAGGAAGATCTACGAAGCAAATGGAAAACAAAAAAAGGCAGGGGTTGCAATCCTAGTCTCTGATAAAACAGACTTTAAACCAACAAAGATCAAAAGAGACAAAGAAGGCCATTACATAATGGTAAAGGGATCAATTCAACAAGAAGAGCTAACTATCCTAAATATATATGCACCCAATACAGGAGCACCCAGATTCATAAAGCAAGTCCTGAGTGACCTACAAAGAGACTTAGACTCCCACACATTAATAATGGGAGACTATAACACCCCACTGTCAACATTAGACAGATCAACAAGACAGAAAGTCAACAAGGATACCCAGGAATTGAACTCAGCTCTGCACCAAGTGGACCTAATAGACATCTATAGAACTCTCCACCCCAAATCAACAGAATATACATTTTTTTCAGCACCACACCACACCTATTCCAAAATTGACCACATAGTTGGAAGTAAAGCTCTCCTCAGCAAATGTAAAAGAACAGAAATTATAACAAACTATCTCTCAGACCACAGTGCAATCAAACTAGAACTCAGGATTAAGAATCTCACTCAAAACCGCTCAACTACATGGAAACTGAACAACCTGCTCCTGAATGACAACTGGGTACATAATGAAATGAAGGCAGAAATAAAGATGTTCTTTGAAACCAACAAGGACAAAGACACAACATACCAGAATCTCTGGGACTCATTCAAAGCAGTGTGTAGAGGGAAATTTATAGCACTAAATGCCCACAAGAGAAAGCAGGAAAGATCCAAAATTAACACCCTAACATCACAATTAAAAGAACTAGAAAAGCAAGAGCAAACACATTCAAAAGCTAGCAGAAGGCAAGAAATAACTAAAATCAGAGCAGAACTGAAGGAAATAGAGACACAAAAAACCCTTCAAAAAATTAATGAATCCAGGAGCTGGTTTTTTGAAAGGATCAACAAAATTGATAGACCGCTAGCAAGACTAATAAAGAAAAAAAGAGAGAAGAATCAAATAGATGCAACAAAAAACGAAAAAGGGGATATCACCACCGATCCCACAGAAATACAAACTACCATCAGAGAATACTACAAACACCTCTACGCAAATAAACTAGAAAATCTAGAAGAAATGGATAAATTCCTCGACACATACACTCTCCCAAGACTAAACCAGGAAGAAGTTGAATCTCTGAATAGACCAATAACAGATCTGAAATTGTGGCAATAATCAATAGCTTACCAACCAAAAAGAGTCCAGGACCAGATGGATTCACAGCTGAATTCTACCAGAGGTACAAGGAGGAACTGGTACCACTCCTTCTGAAACTAATCCAATCAATAGAAAAAGAGGCAATCCTCCCTAACTCATTTTATGAGGCCAGCATCATCCTGATACCAAAGCCGGGCAGAGACACAACCAAAAAAGAGAATTTTAGACCAATATCCTTGATGAACATTCATGCAAAAATCCTCAATAAAATACTGGCAAAACGAATCCAGCAGCACATCAAAAAGCTTATCCACCATGATCAAGTGGGCCTCATCCCTGGGATGCAAGGCTGGTTCAATATACGCAAATCAATAAATGTAATCCAGCATATAAACAGAGCCAAAGACAAAAACCACATGATTATCTCAATAGATGCAGAAAAGGCCTTTGACAAAATTCAACAGCCCTTCATGCTAAAAACTCTCAATAAATTAGGTATTGATGGGACGTATTTCAAAATAATAAGAGCTATCTATGAAAAACCCACAGCCGGTATCATACTGAATGGGCAAAAACTGGAAGCATTCCCTTTGAAAACTGGCACAAGATAGGGATGCCCTCTCTCACCACTCCTATTCAACATAGTGTTGGAAGTTCTGGCCAGGTCAATTAGGCAGGAGAAGGAAATAAAGGGTATTCAATTAGGAAAAGAGGAAGTCAAATTGTCCGTTTGCAGACGACATGATTGGATATCTAGAAAACCCCATTGTCTCAGCCCAAAATCTCCTTAAGCTGATAAGCAACTTCAGCAAAGTCTCAGGATACAAAATCAATGTACAAAAATCACAAGCATTCTTATACACTAACAACAAACAGAGAGCCAAATCATGAGTGAACTCCCATTCACAATTGCTTCAAAGAGAATAAAATACCTAGGAATCCAACTTACAAGGGATGTGAAAGACCTCTTCAAGGAGAGCTACAAACCACTGCTCAAGGAAATAAAAGAGGATACAAACAAATGGAAGAACATTCCATGCTCATGGGTAGGAGGAATCAATATCGTGAAAATGGCCATACTGCCCAAGGTAATTTACAGATTCAATGCCATCCCCATCAAGCTACCAATGACTTTCTTCACAGAATTGGAAAAAACTACTTTAAAGTTCATATGGAACCAAAAAAGAGCCCGCATCGCCAAGTCAATCCTAAGCCAAAAGAACAAAGCTGGAAGCATCACACTACCTGACTTCAAACTATACTACAAGGCTACAGTAACCAAAACAGCATGGTACTGGTACCAAAACAGAGATATAGATCAATGAAACAGAACAGAGCCCTCAGAAATAATGCCGCATATCTACAACTATCTGATCTTTGACAAACCTGAGAAAAACAAGCAATGGGGAAAGGATTCCCTACTTAATAAATGGTGCTGGGAAAACTGGCTAGCCATATGTAGAAAGCTGAAACTGGATCCCTTCCTTACACCTTATACAAAAATCAATTCAAGATGGATTAAAGACTTAAACGTTAGACCTAAAACCATAAAAGCCCTACAAGAAAACCTAGGCTTTACCATTCAGGACATAGGCATGGGCAAGGACTTCATGTCTAAAACACCAAAAGCAATGGCAACAAAAGACAAAATTGACAAATCGGATCTAATTAAACTAAAGAGCTTCTGCACAGCAAAAGAAACTACCATCAGAGTGAACAGGCAACCTACAAAATGGGAGAAAATTTTCGCAACCTACTCATCTGACAAAGGGCTAATATCCAGAATCTACAATGAACTCCAACAAATTTACAAGAAAAAAACAAACAACCCCATCAAAAAGTGGGTGAAGGACATGAACAGACACTTCTCAAAAGAAGACATTTATGCAGCCAAAAAACACATGAGAAAATGCTCACCATCACTGGCCATCAGAGAAATGCAAATCAAAACCACAATGAGATACCATCTCACACCAGTTAGAATGGCGATCATTAAAAAGTCAGGAAACAACAGGTGCTGGAGAGGATGTGGAGAAATAGGAATACTTTTACACTGTTGGTGGGACTGTAAACTAGTTCAACCATTGTGGAAGTCAGTGTGGCGATTCCTCAGGGATCTAGAACTAGAAACACCATTTGACCCAGCCATCCCATTACTGGGTATATACCCAAAGGACTATAAATCATGCTGCTATAAAGACACATGCACACGTATGTTTATTGCGGCACTATTCACCATAGCAAAGACTTGGAACCAACCCAAATGTCCAACAATGATAGACTGGATTAAGAAAATGTGGCACATATACACCATGGAATACTATGCAGACATAAAAAAGGATGACTTCATGTCCTTTGTAGGGACATGGATGAAATTGGAAATCATCATTCTCAGTAAACTATCGCAAGAACAAAAAACCAAGCACCGCATATTGTCACTCATAGGTGGGAATTGAACAATGAGAACACATGGACACAGGAAGGGGAACATCACACTCTGGGGACTGTTGTGGGGTGAGTGGAGGGCGGAGGGATAGCATTGGGAGATATACCTAATGCTAGATGACGAGTTAGTGGGTGCAGCACACCAGCATGGCACATGTATACATATGTAAGTAACCTGCCCATTGTGCACATGTACCCTAAAACTTAAAGTATAATAATAAAAAAATAATAAATAAATAAATAAATAAATAAATAAATAAAAATAGAAATCCAATAATTAGCTGGGGGGAAAAAAAAAGCCTGCAGGACATAAAGGATGGCCCTCTCAAAGCTTCTCACCAGAGTTCTGAAGTCTTTTCTAAATGTTCAAAACCCGGTCATTATGTATCTTTCTAGTGTTTGTAGAGTTCATGCCCCAGAAGTTCCACCCCCCAGATACAGTAACGTTTGGCTAACAAGACATTCTGTCTAGAAAGGAGCAAAGCAGGTGAGAGTACAAAAGAGGGTGGATACTGCTCACTGGGTTCCAGCTTTCTGAATACATTGGTGCAAAAAAAAAAAAAAATCTCTGGAAGTGCACTGAACTTTATGTCAGTTCCACATTTGTTTTCTGGACATGATGCTTGACTCCTTTCTGCTTAATAATTTGAAAATCAAAACTTAATTGGTCATATCATCAAAAATATTATGTTAAGTGACATAAGCCAGGCAAAAAGACAAACACGAAGAATTTTTAAAAGTCCATTTCATAGAAATAGCAGAATCGTGGTTATCATGGGCTAGGCAGGGGAAGGGAGCAGGGCCAATGAAGAGAGGTTGCTCAACAGGTACATAATTACAGTTAGTAGAAGGAATAAGTTCTAGTGTTCTATATATTTTAATTTTATTTTTTTATTTTTTTTGAGACAGGGTCTTGCTCTGCCACCCAGGCTGGAGTGCAGTGGCACAATTATAGCCCACTGCAGCCTTGGCTTCCTGAGCTCAAGAGATCCTCCCACCTTAGCCTCCCAAGTAACTGGGACTACAGGTATGTGCCAACTTTCCCGGCTGTGGTTTTGATGCTTTGACTTTTTTGTAGACGAGTTCTTACTATGTTGTCCAGGTTGGTCTCAAACTCCTGGGCTCAAGTGATCCTCCCACCTCTGCCCCCAAAAGTGCTGGGATTGTCGGTGTGAGCCATGGTGCCCGGCAGTTCTGGTGATCTATTGTGTAGTCAGGTGACTACAGCTAATAACAATGTAGGTTTTATTACAAGGGAGCTAGAAGAGAAGATGGTTAATGTTATCACCACAAAGAAAAAAAATCAATGTTTAAAGGGATAGATATGATAATTTCCCTGATTTGATCATTATACAGTGCATACATGCATTGAAACATCACACTGTACCCCATAAATATGTACAATTGTGTCAAAGTAAATTAATCAAAAAACATAATTCTTTATAAATGCTGAATTCTTCTCCCTACTGTATAGATGTACATATTTATATATTATATATCCATATACACACATAGTTACATGTATTATGTATATTTATGTGATAGCAAGAAATAAACTTATAATTTAAAATAAAAATTATAGTACTTAATTTTTAAATGATTCTTCCACATTATGTATACCAATGAATTTAAGGAGATACTACGTTAAGGCGACTTGTAATTGTCTGTCATACCTTAGAGCCTAAGATGTAGACCATTTTAAGATGCCAGTATTTTCTGCAATATGACCCTGCTGTTCATAAGAAATTATATCTGCTGCCACAAGGTAACAAGGTGAGGTGGAGGCTGAGAATATCTAAGTACATGACTGGGTGATCAAAAGTAATT
The DNA here is from genome assembly GCF_000001405.40 of Homo sapiens. Lineage (NCBI taxonomy): Eukaryota > Metazoa > Chordata > Mammalia > Primates > Hominidae > Homo > Homo sapiens. The sequence goes on from NC_000013.11 coordinate 90,671,607, forward strand.
CAAGGCTGCCCAAGTCAGCTAGTTGGGGCAAACTCTGGAGTGAGAATGTAAGATTTTAGTAGAAAATGGCATTTTTGTAAGGATAGAGGGCAGTGACTGCAATATCAGAATCAAGCAATAAGACTGATGGCTATTGCCAAGAAGAAAGGAATTATAAATAGAGATGATGCTTAAGAAGACTCAATGTAGAACAGAGTCAGGAGTCCACAGGAGGTTCTGATTCCAACCCCCAACCATTTCCCATATGGCCTCTCAGGCTGCCCCAAGCTGCTGTAACATCTCTCTCTTTCCTGGACCCATTGTGATACCTCTTCGGTGCTCACTGGAAAGTAGAGCCAGTGAAATGCCACAATCAAAGGGACTATTGCCCTAGGAAAACTGAGTAAACCCAGCTGAGCTTATGCCTTCCTTAGCGTGCAGAAGGACAAACTTACTCACAAAGTTTATAGGAAAGCAAAGAATTATTTAAAAGTGTCAGAGGAGAGACACTACAGGATATCCTTTACCTCATTTTACCAAAAAAAAAAAAAAATGCCTTGTGCACCAACTCTATGCCAGAGACTATAACAAGCACCGTCAATCCTCATCCAGTTGTGTTTCACATGACCTGACACTTTGCGCATTGTACTTCAGCAACGATGCCCTTGTCTGTTCTTGGAACACAGCAGGGCCTCCACATGTTTCCTAATTCCGAGAATGCTCATGAGAGTGACTTCATCTTACTCGATTCTGTTCATTATTTTGGCGTTAGCTTAATTGATGCTTCTCTGGAGAAATCTTCCTTTGACATCCATCTCAAAACTATTATAGACTCTCTCCTCACACTTGTTCCTACCTTTCGTAGCTCATATCCCATTTTGTACTTATATAGTTTTCCTGTGATTATATTTTATTATCTGCCTTACTGATAGACTGGAAGCTAGTGGTTCTCACCCTTGGTTGCCCATGAAATGATCAGAGATCTTTATAAAATTCTACTGTCAAGATCCCACCCCTAGAGATTCAGACTTCATTATTCTCAGTTGTGGTCTGGGGCTTAGAAATACCTAAAAGCTTCCCAACTGATTCTGCTATGTGGTAGATAAAGCTGACAAGCTGTGATGCACAGCTTTTAGACAAGGTCCTAGGAGTTCAAGGACCATGTGTCTTTAACTTACGCCCATATGCCCTGTGTCCAGCAGAGTCTCTGCCACACAGCAGAGCCATTAACAAGGGCTCTAACATTGAGTGGCTCAAGAACGACAGCCAGCATGAGCTTGTTTGCTAATTATGACTAAAAGACTCATGGGAAATTGTCATAAAGTAAGGGCAGGAAGACAGTTTAGCCTAAAATAAGGAGGGAGTAAGAGAGACACGCAAGATGTGACTTGGATGGTATGAGGGATATCAGCACAGGTGGTTTAGGAACCAGTCTCTTACTGGCTTCCCAACCTTTGACAAATGTTTACCTTTCTTGTTTCTCAGTTCCCCCATATGAAAAATGATGATAGCTGTAATATCTACCTCATAGGGTTGTTGTGAAGATTTAATGAATAAATATGCTAGAATACAGTAAGTTGTAAGTGTTATCAGGTGTCATTATTAGTAGCTGAGCACATTTATTTTATTTTGAAAACCACTACACAAAAAAACCAAAAAGAGTGCCATAAGGGAAATCACCTATCTGCCTCTGAAAAATGAGTGATATGTATCAAAATGATGAATGAAATACTCTGAACACTGCCCCAGTCCAAGAAGGTCATGGCTCTGCACCAGTAGCAATCAGAAGGCCAGTCTCCTCTAAAGAGGAGACTGTTTTTATGATACAGATTTTTCCCTAAAATGTAAATAATCTGGATCAATTCATATAAATTTATATATGAAGATAAATTCATATATATGGTATACAAATTATTTAAATAATAGAAAATAATAGTAAATTGATGTATTTAAAAAGAACATTTGGAATTATGGAGGTTTAAAAAGTAGGCAAGGTTTAAAGAAAAGGAAAAAATATATAAAAGCATCCAGAATAAAAAAGACCACAAAATTCTATGGGCTAATATGGAAAGAGTTTGTAAAGAGCCAGTTTGTGTGATGTCATCTGGTATTAATATTCATTTCCTTTCAAATGTATGCTGCCAAGGACTGCCAATTTATAAAATAAGATAGATACACATAAATAATTAATTTGGTGACAGTGTCCTTCATTTACTTTTTAGAAAGAGCTGCTTGGAGAGGCTATTCAGCAGCTTGAAATTTATTAAGCGCATGTTCTGCTTCTACAGATGACTTTTGTTCACACTCACTCTCTTGATACTAGCAAGGACATAACCAAGTAACCAAGGCCCACAGTGCTGACAGTGACAGATTTTTTTCCAAGTCTGTTTAAGAGCTTGGCCAGCATATGGTCCATAATTACTGCCACTATTATTTACTAACAAGAGGAATGACTACATTAAAAAGACTTCCTTTTCCAATACCACAATTTTAATGCTTTTTTTTTGCTGCAATTAATGCTCACTTTTCTATGAAACTGAACACTGTAAGTCATAATGATAAGTCTAGTCTTCAGACTGTATTTGTTCTAATTTGGGAGCATAATTAGAGATGCTGCTGGGGAAGGTCATATTTCAGAAATAATGATGCTAAATCTCATCTGCTGGAAAAGTCTTCCAGACAAAGACTTTCTTCCTCCGTATGTAACTGACCCGCAATGCCTCACCATCATTAGGAATACATGAACATTGCCAGGGCAAAGCATGCAAAGTTTCAAAAGTATTAGCGTCCAGAATTTCAAGTATTTCATTTCTTTTTAAAACATAAAGGTGATAAATGCCAGTCTTTTTAATTTTTAGCATTTTAACAAAACTAAAAAGGCAGGATAAAAGCTTTGATGTCAGAGGTCTAGTTGGCTGTTTTTATAAAGTGCCTCATAGATTCTGGAACTAAAATTTTATAGGAAGGTGTTCTTTCAGGAGAGCTTTTAATGAGTAGGTAACAAACAGAAATTTAAGTATGAAAACTACTTTTATGTTTCTCTCTCTTTTTCCTCAACTACTGCAACACTCTTCAAAAATACACCTTAAACATAAAATAGTCAATACTGCTTCCAATGTCTATTTTATGTTTTTTGAGATGGAGTTTTGCTGTTGTTGACCAGGCTGGAGTGCAATGGTGCAGTCTCAGCTCACTGCAACCTCCGCCTCCCGGGTCCAAGGGATTCTCCTGCCACAGCCTCCCAAGTAGCTGGGATTACAGGCACCCAGCACCACGCCTGGCTAATTTTTGTACTTTTGGTAGAGACAAGGTTTTACCATGTTGTCCAGTATGGTCTCTAACTCCTGACCTCAGGTGATCCACCCGCCTCGGCCTCCCAGAAGTGCTGGGATTACAGGCATGAGCCACCACTCCTGGCCCCAATGCCTCTTATTTTAGAAACAGACATTTTGTTGTCTCTGAAGAACAGATTGATGAAAAGATTGCTAAAGGTTTATTTTACATCCTATCTTCAAATTCTGCATAGAGAAAATGCTTACTCTCTTACTATTCTAAACCTAAGAAATAGCTTAATCTAACACTCTCTTGGCCATAATTTTTCAGTCCATATAGTAGGGGACATTTAAATGCTATACACTACCTTCCGTGCAGCAGCGTATGCTATTTAGAGATCTGTGTGCCTGTCTTGCCATAGAAAGATGTGGCAGCAGACTAATTGAATCTCAGATTACAGTGGCTGTGGTTTCTGCTGGTTTAGTAGCAAGAAATTTCTCTTAGCTCTCTAGACATGGAGAATATACCAGCACAACCATTGTCTGATAACTGTGTGAATATTATGACAGTCACATGGCAACTGGAATGCCAAGTTAAAGGACCTGAGAAAAACTGCACTTTGCTTACATTTGCAGGCTGCTTAAGAGTTTTTCAATAATACTTACCTATTAAGTAAATACTACTAAGTTAAGTAATAACATATATTTTGACTTCCTATAATGAAACAATAACATTTTAGTTTTAGAAATTTATTATCACAGTAGATACTGAAAGAATACAATGAGCACATACAAACAATATAAGTCATAATCCTTCCAAAAGACACGCTTGATGGCTTTTGTAAAGTATCATTTAATACCATCCCATGATTGGCTTTAACGATGTCCCTGTAAAATAAACTCAATTCTAATTTTGAAAGTGCTGCAATTTGTCATTATTTATTCAGGATACGGAATACTCAAATAATTGCCTGAAGGAAATCACCATTTTAGGCTTAACTTGCGCTAGCAAACTTGATGTGTAGTTTTGGAAATGAGCATAGCCCAAGGGCTTTCATGTGTACTTAAAGGTACATAGGCATTTAGCAAGTTCATGCTTATATTTGAAATTCTAAGATAGTACCTCATAATGCTTCTCACTGTGTAACTAACTAGAGTGGGTCAAAGGACAAGAGCCTATTAGAAGGATAGCAATGGTTTCGATTCAGAATGACACAGTGGGACTTTTTGGAAACCCAGCAAGAGGGTAGGGGAGGAAGCAGGGGTCTGATTTTCTCTTAGGCACTCAAAGTTGCCTGAAAGAAATACTACTTTAAAGTTCATTGGGCAGTCTCCATCACTGACAAACTTAATTTTCTGAAGCCAAATTCAGGGCAGAGAGTTCAGGGAAGAGAATAGCATGTTTATTGCCTGCAGTCTGTTGGAAGCTTAAATTATAGATTTCAAGTACAAAACTGTCTTGCCTTCAAACAAGAAATTGGACAGTTTTGAGGCTTTAAACTTTCAAATGAAAATGGAAAGCTGCACAGCTAGCTTTGACTAGAAAAAAATTAAAAGACAATGAAAAAAACTTAGCAATGATAATACAAAGCATAAAAATAAGAACGGTGTTAATCTTTTAGGAAATTTCTTGTTATAGTCATCATTTGGCAGCTGTATTCTTTGTATTTTCAGAATTTTACAAGCATTTTTACCCAAATATGTAAATATTGTATATACACTCTCTTTACAACTCTAGGTGGTAGTAGGAATATTGTAAGGTTTGTTTTGTCTTTTAGTTCTTTATCTGATCTGATACCCTCAGGGAAAGTGGTAACAATAAGGCTTTTACATTTTGAGGGAAAATTCTATCTAACCGTATTAGGTAGACAGGGGTAGATCCTATTTTTTTAAAATATGGTGCAGTCAACACTTCTTATTATGTGTGACAACAAAAACTCCAAAATAAACTGCCAAAGCTAACACACACAGATTCGTATGCTTTGTTTCTCTCGCTTTAAAGTGAAAACTTAAAAATGGTAGCTTTCTTTGCTTTTCAGATGTAGATAGGCTTTCTGTGCAGAAGTTGTGTTTTTAGTAAGTTAAAGCTTCCCTTGGGCTGGACAGCTATTTTGAGAGATGGAAAATGGTAGCGAATACATTACTATCTGTGTATGTATTTTTAATACAGACCAGGAGGCAAGTTATTCTCTGATAGATTTCTGTAAGTAGTGTATTCTGATGCTGGCAGACAGGTCTTCCTCAATCATGCCTTGATAATTCTCAGGCCAGTCCTTTAGCAAAAAAAATAAAAAAGCAAAGAGTATAGCAGTGACCATGGGTAATTGATTATGTCAAATCTGTCTGCCTCTTGTCTGTCTTTGACTAGAAAAATTCTCCCTGGGTCTAAGCAAAAGGAAAGACTGAATTACTATAATAAACAAGGGATATCTTTGAGTTCAGTCTATAAAGATGACTTTGTAAATATCAAAAGAGGTATTTGAAAACAAAAATACCTAATTTCTTTCAAATAATAATCATCCATTACTAAAAAAGCACTTAATAAAATATAGTTTAAAACTTGGCTTTTCTGATTAATTGCTGTGTGAACTTCACTAATTTGCTTAGCCTCTCTGAGCCTCAATTTATCTGTATAATAAAAATGATAATAATAGTTGCTTGTTCCAAATGTAACTATAGTATTCAATAAAATAATACATGTAAAAAAACTTTCAACAGCGAATTGCTTATAATTGCTCTCTAAATATCTAAATATAATTTTAATTACTATAATTATTATTATGTCACCTATGTATTTACACACATAATTATAACCAAAATTTGACATTGACTTTATGTTTTTGTGTGTGTGCATGTGTGTGTGTATGGGTGTGCATGAACAGCCTTAAGATTTGGTTTCTTGATATGACATTAGATAATCTATGGTCTTAGTTTCCATAAAATTGTTCTTAACATTTCCTAATGAAATATGTAGCCTATTGCATGTAAATAAAATTTCCAGCATTAAAAAAGTAAAAGGAAATATATAGAGGATTCATAAAAACTTCTATTTGTTCAAAGTTACTCATAGTCACTAAAAGCCTAACATTGGTTTACAAGTTTAGGGTGATATCACTTCATGATGCAAAATGGACCAAGAATCTTAGAAGGATAATAACTTCATAAACACATTGATCTAGCAATATGCTCCTTACTTTGGAAAATTCGGTAACAGTAAATCAAAAAGCAACCATATGTCAGGCAAATATCTTTGCTTCTACAATACCCACCACCTCAGGGAACCCTGAAAAATCATTTTTAAATTTTGTGTGTTCCTTGACAATCTGTAGGGCCAATGAGGAAGAAGCATACACAGTAGATAGCAAGGAGCTAATAAACATTTATGGAATGAATTGATGAAGGTTTTGATTTTTTCAAATTGAAACACATGGTTTTTCTTGGTTGTACACATCTGATTTTTTCTTTGTACATATTTATGGGGTATATGTGATATTTTGATACATGCACAAAATATGTAACAATTGAATCAGGATAATTAGACTATCACCTCAAATATTTATCATAGCATTTCTTTGTCTCAGGAACATTGCAAATCTCTTTTTCTAGCTATTTTGAAATATATAATAAATTACTGTTAACTGTGATCAACCTACTGTGCTCAGTTTCTCTTTTTTCTCATACTTGATATTGGTGAGTACTTCTTGTCCTATGGGTCTTACCTCTTCACTTCTATTAGGCTGTTCCCTTAATTTCAATTGGGGTTCTTTTCTTTCTGATTCTTTGATAGGCTCTTCTTTACTTTCACAACAGATATGGCTTCCCAAAACACTTTTCTTAAGCCTTTGGTGGTCTCTCCTCTCATTTATGTTCACTGTGAAATCTTTTACTCCTGTGGCTTCCAATAACGCTCCTATTCTCACTATTTTAATCTTTATCTAATTATGAACTGAACTGTTTCCAGGCCTGCTTCAATCTTCAAAGAGCATGGATATTTGGATATAGAGCTATCCTTTCAAGTTCAAAATGCCTGCTTATGGCTGGTCTCTTTATCTTTAAAACTGGATCTCAGTGGATATTCCTCAGTTCTATTACAATGCTCACCATCTTCTGACCAACGAGGTTGAAAATCAGGGAGACAGAGACATTGATAACAAGTTCTAACCTTACTCGGTTAAAAACGAGCTGTCATCAGTTCTAATTGTTTCTATGAAGCATCATGAAGACTTGCCCTCTCTCCTCTGGTTCCAAAGTCACCACCTGCGTACCAAACTTCCAACTTGCATTATGGAAATTACCTTCTGGTTTCCCTGCCTTTGCATTTTCAGAATCTTTTATTATGTATACACCACCCCCAGATTAATCTTTATGAAGTGCCACTTTCATCATGTTGCTTTCCAGCTGTTCTCTATGGTACACAGTGGCTCTCTGAATTTTCAGCACTCCACAAATTATCCCCAATCATTCTGATCAAATATAGGCACACCTCAGAGATATTGTGGGTTTTGTTCCAGACCACCACAATAAAGGCAATATTAGAATACAACAAGTCACACCATGTTTTTGGTTTTCTAGTACGTATAAAAGTTATGTTTATACTATACTGTAGTCTAATAAAAATGCAATAGCATTATGTCTAAAAAAAGTACATACCTTAAATTAATCATTATTTTTAAGAATAAAATACCTTTATCTGCACTTTCAGAGAGTTTTAATCTATATGCTGGTCAAAGGTCTTGCCTCAATGTTGAGGCTGTTGATTGACCAGGGTGGTGGTTGCCGAAGGTTGGAATGGCTATGGCAATTTCTTGAAATAAAACAACAGTGAGGTTTACTGCATCCATTTTACCTTTGCTTTCATGAAAGAGTACTCTGTAGCATGTGAAGCAATTTGGTAGTATTTTACCCACAGAGCTTTTTTTAAAACTGGAGTTAATCCATTCAAACCTTGCTGTCACCTTTTCAACTAAGTTTGTGTAATATTCTAAGTCCTTTGTTGTAATTCCAACAATGCTCACAGCATCTTCACCAGGAATAGATTCCATCTCAAGAAACCACTTCTTTTGTTCATCCATAAGAAGCAGCTCCTCATGCATCCAAGTTTTATCAAGAGATAGCAGCAATTCAGTCACATAATCAGGCTCTATCTTTAACTATAGTTCTCATGCTATTTCTACCACATCCACAGTGACTCCCTCTACTGAAACTTTGAACCCCTCAAAGTCTGTCATGAGAGTTGGAATCAACTTCTTCCACACTCCCATTAATATTGATATTTTTACGTCCTCCCATGAATCATGAATGTTCTTAAAGGCATCTAGAATGGAGAACTTTTTTCTAGAAGGTTTTCAATTTACTTTGCCCAGATCCATCAGAAGAATTACTATCTGTGGCAACTATAGCCTTACAAAATGTATTTCTTAAATATAAGATTTGAAAGTTACAATTACTCCTTGATCCATGGGCTGCAGAATGGATGTTATGTTAGCAGACATGACAACATTAATCTCCACGAACATCCATATTGGAGCACTTGGGTAACTAGGTAAATTGTGAATGAGCGGTAATATTTTTAAAGAAAACTTTATTTCCTGAGCAGTGAGTCTCAACAGTGGGCTTAAAACAGTCAGTAAATCATGCTATAAACAGATAGATGTGCTATCATCCAAGCTTTGTTGTTCCATTTATAGAGTACAGGTAGAGTAGATTTAGCATTATTCTTAATAGCCCTAGGATTTTTGGAATGGTAAATGAAATGAACATTGGCTTCAACTTAAAGTCACCAGCTGCATTAACCCCTAACAAGAGACTCAGCCTGTTCTGTGTTCTGTGAAGCTTTGAGGTCAGTCATCGATTTCTGCTGTCCAGCTATGAAAGTCCTAGATGGCATCTTCTTCCAATAGAAGGTCGTTTCATCTAAATTAAAAATCCATTATTTAATGTACCCACCTTCATCAATTATCTTAGATTATCTGGATTACTTGTTGCTTCTTCTACATCAGCACTTGCACTTTTATGGAGATGGTTTCTTTTCTTAAACCTCATGAACCACACTCTACTATCTTCCAACTTTTTTTCTGCAACTTTCTCACCTCTGTTAGCATTCACAGAATTGAAGAGAATTAGGGTTTTGTTCTGGATTGGGCTTCGGTTTAAAGGAATGTTGTGGCTGGTTTGATCTTCTATCCAGACCACTAAAACTTTCCGCATACCAGCAATAAGGCTATTTTGCTTTATCCTTAGTATGTTCACAATTTGACTAACTTTTTGGTGCAAGATGCCTAGCTTTCTCAGCTTTCGGCATGCTTTCCTGGCTGAACTTAATCATTTCTAGCTTTTGATTTAAAGTGATAGATGAGCAACTCTTCCTTTAATTTGAACACTTAGAGGACAATGTGTAGTTTTGAATTGGCCTAATTTCAATATTAGTGTATCTTAGGGACTAGGGAGGCCTGAGGAGAGGAAGGGAGATAGGGGAACTGCTGGTCGTCGGGCAGTCAGAACACACACAGCATGTATTGACTAATTTTTTTGTCTTATACTGGCACAGTTTGCAGCATCCCAAACAATTACATTAGTATCCCAAAAGATCACAGATCACTATCACAGATCTAGTAACAGTAATTAAAGTTTGAAACATTGCAAGAGTTACCAAAATGTGACATAGATGCACAAAGTGAACACATAATGTTGGAAAATGCTGCCAGTAGATTGGCTTAATGAAGGCTTGTCACAAATTTTCAGTTTGTAAAAACTCCAGTATCTGCAAAATGCGATAAAGCAAAGCACGGTAAAATAAGATATGCCTGAACACTTCTTCACAGCATACACCCTTTCCCCAGTCACTGTTTGTGAAGCTACTACTTCCATGCCCTGGTTCAAACCCACAACAGGTGGGCGATCTTCCACCACTGCTCTTATTCAGGTACCAGTCATCCTTCAAAACCTAGATCACAGTCTTTATTTTCTATAAACACTCTGAAATAAAGCTGTTTCAACTCTTATTACTCCTTTCCTTTTTCTGTTTTTACACTGTATTTAGAGTGAGTGCTGCATTGTTAGGCACATGTGAGTTTCGTTGTATGATTGGTTATCCCAGTCAAATTTTAAATTTCTTAAAAAGTCAAGCCCTAGGCTTTCTCTGTGTCCTCAGAGTATTAGCAAATTTTAGGTTCTCTGGAGCAGCTCAGTAAGTTCTTTTTAAATTTGGTTTTAAATATATAAGTAATTGTCATAGGACTGTGTACTGAAAGTTTCTTTTTCCTCACTGATCTATATTACCACCTGTAACATACACCAAAGTTTCTTATTTTCATGCACCTAATTATGGATTCTCTACAAAGTCTTATTGTTCAATACCACACATTCAAAATTATAATTTTGATTTAAAGTGATAGATGAGCAACTTTTTTTTTAATTTGAATACTTAGAGGCCAATGTAGAGTTATGAACTGGCCTGATTTCAATACTAATGTATCTTAGGGACTAGGGAGCCCTAAGGAGGGCCCTCCCTCGTCCCTAAGATACATCAATATTGAAATTGTAAACCAAAGTCTAATCCAGGGCAAAGCGTTGGGTATTTTTACCGTACATGTACTTAGCAATAAGCTAGACTAGTAGTGTTTAGTTTAACTAAAGCTCATAAACTTTGGCAAAATATTCTTTTTGAATTTGAACTTATATTATGTCTTCTTTTGTAGTTCTTCAGCTATTCTCTTTTCTTTATACTTATATATGCATTTTAAATAAATTTTTAAATTGAATACAGAGTATACAGTTAGTAAGAGTATAGGTCAATAAAACTTCACACAATAAACCCATGATGGTAGGAATAATTCTAAAATATCTTGTCCCTGTTGTTCATGCTTTTTTTTGTTAATTCTTAGGACTGTGAATGTGATAAGTTTCATTTCTGTAGTTAGGACATGCTATATGTCCCAGCTGACTTTATGAAAAAGAGGTATCTTGGATAGGCCTGACTTAATTAAGTGAGTGCTTCATAGGGACTGGGCTCATTCTGAGGACAGAGATTTTAAACATGCAAAGGAAAACCTCTATTGCTGTCTTTAAGATGGGGAGGGACACAGGGCAAGGAAGGTGACATCAGTCCCACATACTCGAGGAATAAAATTCTGCCACGACTGTGTGAGCTTGGAAGAGGATCCCAAGCTCTAGAAGACAATGCTGCCCTGTAGGTAGACACTTTGGTTTTAGCCTTAGGAGACCCTACGCAAGGAAGCCAGGTACATGCTGATATGGTTTGGCTGAGACCCCATTCAAATCTCAACTTGAATTGTATCTCTCAGAATTCCCAGGTATTGTGGGACGGACCCAGGGGGAGGTAATTGAATCATGGGAGCTGTTCTTTCCCCTGCTATTCTCATGATAGTGAATAAATCTTATAAGATCTGATAGGTTTATCAGGGGTTTCTCTTTTTACTTTTTCCTCATTTTTTAAGAAGTGCCTTTTGCCTCCTGCCATGATTCTGAAGCCTCCCCAGCCATATGGAACTGTAAGTCCAATTAAACCTCTTTTTGTTCCCAGTTTCAGGTATGTCTTTATCAGCAGTATGAAAATGGACTGATACACATGCCATACCTATATTTCTGACTTACAAAAGCATGAGCTAATAAACATGTGCTGTTTTAAACTGCTACGTTCATGGTAAGTTTGTGTCAGTGGAAATCAATGGAAAATTAATATACTATTTCTTATAAGCAACAACCTCCCCCCACCAAAAATAACACATTCTAAGCAACCCAGAAGCCCCCCTGTCATTTTAATTCTGAAAATGAGCCACGTTTTTCAACTGTGCCATAGCTATGCATACTACCTCTCGGATTTCCTGTTGGATGTCTCCCAATTCCATGTAGTTTACATTACCCTCTAGGAGCACATTTGTCATTTCTAGAGACAGGGGAATGCCAATAATGATGGAAGCAAACTGTATCCTCTCTTTCACTCAGCTTCCTCTCAGTATCTGATGACAATGAGAAATGCATTTGAAGAGATAAACACTTCCCGAAAGACCATCATGATAGGAGCTGATACTCACAGATGCCTTAGTGAATGATTACGTCTCAGGATGCCATAAGGAATACACAGAAGGGTACAATCTCAAGCCTGTGAGTAATTTTATGTTCTAATCCTATTACGTCCGGAATAAAAAATGCTGTGACGGTAAAAACTCTAGTCTGGAAATGGTTGCTACTTCAGCTCTTGTTGTTCCTCATTCAAATAGTTTACGTTTCCTGCCTTTGTGTGTGACACATGTATCATCAAAGCAGCAAAAACCAACTCCCCTTTTCTGCACTGTTTATACAACGCATCCCTTAAGCATATAATATCACAGGACACAACTTTTCTCTAAGTACAGTGTGTTATATATAAATATATATTTATTTATATATTTTTTCTTCATATGTATGAATATATATATATATTCATATATATGTAGGAATCTTTTCTCTAAGCTCTTGCTAATAAACCAAGTACAGCTCTCTTACTTCAAACATTATAATCCAGCTCATCTTATTTCTTATAGGCTTCATGCCTTTCTCATTTCTAAATACTTTTTTTTCTACTGAATAGTTTGTTTATTTACTTGAGGATGGAGGGAATTACATAAGGGAATTACAGCCAATGACTTATTTCTTGCTCTAGAAATAAATTACATTTATATACTCTCTATAGATTAAATTATAGCTACTTTCTCCGTGGGTACGCTCATCTTTTTAGGGAGTAAATGTGGTAGCTCATTTGAATGTAACTGCTATCCTAATCTCAAATACAGTGAAAACTCAAATCAAGTATTCTTAAGAAATGTGAAATTACTGAAGTTAAGTTTTACAAATGGTTGAAGTTCAAAAAACAACAAAACAACAAGAATAAGTGTTTTAAATGGAAATCCTTTTAAACATACAGAGGAATCTCAAGTTTTAAACTAAATATACTAAAATAAGTTTAATCATTTCTTGAAATTGAAGAAAAGATTCTTGTAACTCATGTCATGCATGTTTAATACTGCCCTGAAGCAATATTAAAATTAATATGGAATGAGAATAATATTGCCGTTATTCCTAGACTCTTTTTTTTTTTTTTTTTTTTTTGAGACAGAGTCTCGCTCTGTCACCCAGGCTGGAGTGCAGTGGCGCGATCCCGGCTCACTGCAAGCTCCGCCTCCCGGGTTCAAGCCATTCTCCTGCCTCAGCCTCCCAAGTAGCTGGGTCTACAGGCGCCTGCCACCACGCCTGGCTAATTTTTTAATATTTTTAGTAGAGACAGGGTTTCACCATGTTAGCCAGGATGGTCTCGATCTCCTGACCTTGTTATCCGCCCACCTAGGCCTCCCAAAGTGCTGGGATTTCAGGCATGAGTCACTGTGCCTGGCCTATTCTTAGACTTAATGTCAATAGCCACCCAGACATTGAAGCTCTGGGTTAAATGGTAAAACATGTAAAAGATGTTAGATTTTACACAATTTAGATGCTATGTTAATTTTTTCTGAACTGTCAAGCAAGCAAATGTTCAGGTGCTAAATAAGTTTCAAGGATAATTAAAAGAGAAAAGTCATGCTTTAAAATAAACTTGTCAACTTATTTTCCATAGGAAAATAAAAGGTTTAATCCTTTCATAATGAGTAGCAACAAAATTAAATTCTATTCAGCTCAATCCAATTTTTGAAAAGATTAAAAAAAGTTAGAAAAAATGTTTTTTTCAAAGCCCATGAGCTTTAGCTAAACCAAACACTACCTCTTCAGTATATATCTAATTAAATATGCAATTAAAAATGTTCACTGCACCCTAAGGCCTCCCATCCTGTTTAAATAGCTTTTTGCCCCACTTTAAAAGGCAAGTTCTAACTTTTTAAGTATTTTTAAAAATCCTTCAGATTTTCTACGTGATTTCTCTAGCAAATGCATTTTTCATTAAAATGCACCCCTTTAGAAATATGAACAATTTCTTAAACATGTAATAAGCATAAATCGAACATCTCTAAGTAACTGATTTAAGTAAAAAGGCAGAAAAATAATCTGTGAAAAGAGATTAGTGCCTACTTCCTTTAAAGACAAGTTAGGTATGATTTAAATAACCATACATATTATGTTTTTTTCTTTATTTAGGTGCCAATGGAAAACTATAATGGCCAAATAAATTTTCCAACTTATTGTATATCAATTATATATTATCTAATAAAAATAAAGCTTTGCCTTTTTTATGATTTCAAATAATGCTTCTCCATGCTATGCTTTTAAGTCATATATATGTGCCTATTTTTCACTTAGAACATCTTAGTGTGCTAAAATTGTCACATTATGGAAAATATCTTTGGGAAAAGATCATTTCATATTGTAAGTGCTTTTGACAAATTGACATGAATCAAGTTCAACATTTAACTAAGGACAACTGATTGGTAAGTTAGATCTCAAAGCTTTCCATTTTACCAACTCTACTGAGATAATATAAAAGAATAAAAGTGTTTTTATTACTAGAGTTTTAAAGTAAAATTACATTATTTGGACTTATCCCTTGAAAAATTTTATTTCTTTGATAGTGGTGGGTTTAAAAAATAAGCCAATCTATGGTGGTTCGTAGTAAGGTGCTCACCTACTGCTGGCTCCATCCCTAAAAGCCGACCCTGGGGACAGCACAGAAGGCAAAGCTAGGTTTGCAGATTCCAGATAAAACATAAGTGAGAAATATGTTGCGAAAGCACAGATGCTTTTGCTTTATCCCCATCCCACTTCACTCCCACACACATTTCCCTGATAGATCATGGGCCAATGTGTCACTTCTGTGGAATTTAAAAAAAGACAGTATTAATGTTCTGGGTGGAATCTAGGAAATAATGTTAAGCAATGCTGAAACATGTCCCAAGAGGAAAGCAGATGACAAGAGTGTCACACATACAAGTCACCTAGGATCAATCTTTCCTTCCACATGTTGCCCAGCCCAGGGAAATAGTTCAATATGATTACATGAAAACTAAGAACTACTGATTTAGTGATAACACTATGACATATTTTTCAGATATATCTTCCATATACTTGAAAAACATATTTTCCATATTTCCATATATCTGGAAAACATATTTTACATATTTCCATATATCCGAAAAATATGTCAAAGTGTTACTGCTAAATCAGTGCTTCCTAGTTTTTATAGAAGGATATCTAACCATTTCCCTGGGCTGAGTGGCATGTGGAAGGAAAGGTTAATCAGAGCTGACTTGTACATGTGACACTCTTATATCCACATGTCTGGGAAATATTTTATAATATTTATGATATTCCAAAGTAATAGTTATTTAAAATCGGGAAATATGTGAAGAATTATTGCATTTGTGTAAGAAAAAGAAACAGGAAGTCCAAAGAAAAATGAGGGCAAATCATCCACAGACAATATGCACATGAGGAGATCCAAAAAGCTAAAATTATATGAAAAGAATCTCAAACCAACTAAAATTCAGGAAAATGCAGTCAGTCAACATCCTCATTCACCATGTTACATTGGTCAAATCGACATAAAATAAATCAGATAATACCGAGTGATGGAAAGAAATGTGAAGAAATATGACATGTGTGACTGATATTAGGCATTTCCATAGTAGCACCCTTTCAGCAGAGCAATCTGGCAGTATTTAGTGAAATAAAAACGTACACATCATGTGACACATGGCCTCCCTCTCCTAGTAGTAACTACAGAGATGATCTGTAATAAGGAGTGTAAAGATCACATATAAGCATCTTCATTGCAGTAGCGCTTGTGGGAGAAGAGGCCTGAGGTCATTTAAGTTTCTCTCACCAGGGATTGGACAGGGTAGATGTAAATGGCAAAATATTATGGAGTGATTATAATGAATATCCCATATATGCATAAAGAAATGTGACTACATCTTAAAAACATATTATTGAGTAAAAATAAAAAAGAGAAAGAAAACTGTATGTGATTTACAGCCTAAATCAATGTATGTAAATTATACATAAGACAAACTATATCTATGTGAATTTTATGATGCCTATGAGGTGTAACGAGAGTAGAGTTGGAATACAGGAGCAGACTTTCATGGATTGATGTTATAATGAATAATAATTGACGTGAACTGAAGGTTATTATTAACTAAATTCTCTGTACCTGAGGTTCAAAAGAAAATCTGCTGAATATATTGAGTGCAAATAATACTACTGAATACACTTATACCTACTCAAGAGAATAAATGGATTT
This sequence comes from Homo sapiens, assembly GCF_000001405.40. Lineage (NCBI taxonomy): Eukaryota > Metazoa > Chordata > Mammalia > Primates > Hominidae > Homo > Homo sapiens. The sequence goes on from NC_000013.11 coordinate 90,688,080, forward strand.
AAGCACTTTATGATTCCATTTACATATAAACAATGATATGCTCATTATAAATCTTTCTTATTTTCTCATTAAGTTGGTTTCCCCTCAGCTTTACTTATCTATCTTTTTCTTAGTCTAGTTTGATTTACTGTAGGGAAACTGCAAGCATTCGCATTTACTCCATAATTCAATCTTTTCACTAATCAAATATGACCTTTTCCAAGTTAGAATGTTGTTTTCAAAGTGTGCCTTTATTTTGCTCTTGGAGAATATAAAATCGTTTAGGTTTTTTTTTTGTTTGGTTGTTTGATTGTTTCTAGAAACTCAGAGCTATATCTATTCAGAAAAATAAATAGCAGTAATTCATTAGAGATACGAATGACTAGAAAATGACCTATACCAAAAATAAAATGCCTGTGATTATGTAGAGACAATATTCTGGTGAATATTAAAATATTACCAATTTCACAGCATTCAAACCTATAAGCATAAAACAGTCTTGGTTTAATAAGAATAATTGAATAACTTTCCCTGTTATCTGAAAATGGTCTTTTTGGCATCAGCTGCTGTACCATATATGATTTACGAATTTCCTAGGACAGACTAGTCTAAAGGAAACATCTTAAAATACGAAATAAATTTTCCACATTTTCCCATTATTTTTCAGATTTTAAAATTGATATCTAATTCTGTTTTATAGAATATACTATTAATACTACTTATTATTAAATGTTAATGATAATCTTAGACATAGAATCAGTAAGAAAAGTAGAAAGAGAATTGTGTTATTCAAACATACTTTTCTTTTTAACATAGAGAGCTAACCTAACTCTAATTTAAGGCTAGAAAACAAGAAAGAATTGTGTTCTCATCAACCCATAATGTACCCTTACTTTCACTTCGACATCAACAACCTAAATAATTATCAGATTTGCTCTGACTATGAGGACATTTTGTCTGAAGACATAATGAATAAATGTGTTATTTGAGATAGATTGTGTGATTTGAGAGAAAATGGAAGTATAAGAGGGACTATATTACGTCTTCTGGTCTACCATTGCAAACATAACCGATATTATTCATACAACCAACAAATGTTTACCAAGTTCTTATGAAAATTAAGGTACTAGCAATTCCCTTGAAGACACAGTAGAACTAGTCCCTTTATCCACTGTTAATGTGCCGTGAAACAAACACCAAGATTCTTAGGTAAAAAGATGCTGCAAGTGAGTGGCCTGATAAGATAAGGAAAATAAGACAGTCAGGAACTGGGAGACACAGCCTAGCTCTAGAGCCTATAGCTAGGATTCCTTTATGGTGGGGCCATGCGGTCCCTTTCAAAGGGTAATGAAATGTTTCTTACCTCCCATGAAACTTACATTTTGACCTAGAGATCTTCCTTTCTCAAAATAGGAAAAAATAAAGTCTCAACTTCTGAAGAAGATGACAAGGGTGGATATCCTGTCTCTTTATATCTATAAATGTGTAGGTACTCACATTTATAATTTTGGGGTCTATATTAATTTCCTAGGCATTCTGTATCAAAATACCATAAACTGGGGTAGCTTAGAAAAACATAAATTTATTGTGCTATAGTTCTGCAGGCTGGAAGTCTCAGATAAAGGTGTTGTCAGGGCCGTGCTCACTCTAAAGCCCCTAAGGAATGATCCTTCCTTGCCTCTTCCAGCTTCCAGTAGCCCTGAATAGTCCTTGGCTTGTGGCAGCATAACTCCAATCTCTGTTTTAAACACTTGTCTTTCCTCCATGTCTATGCCGGTGCATGACATTCTCTTTTTCTATTTTCTCCCTCTTGTAAGAATGCAAGTCATATTGGATTAAGAACATACCTTCCTCCAGTATGACCTTATCTAATTTAATTGCATCTGCAGTGACCCCATTTCAACTAAGGTCACACTTGGAAGTACTGTGGGTTGCATTACGATATATCTTCATGGGGGACACAATTCAACCCATGAAATGATGCCCTTCCTGTAGTACAAACCCGCTGCATGTGCAGAATCCATCTGGCTCTCATAGTGTTGCCTGGGGCTGCTTGGTATTGGAAAACAACGCTACACATTTACTCTGGTCACTGTTTTTGCTGTAAGCAAATAAATGTCTGATATTTGATTCAGAGGCATGGTGCTTCTGCTAGGATCGATCTATTGACTTATCCCTCTAACTGTTCAAGTAGAATAATGTCTCAGACTTTGCAAGTTTCCTGACTTGACATCAACTTGCTAAAGGAGGGAGACCCACTAATTCACCACTGGACGTTGTTCCCGTGGATTCAGTACCTGGATCAGTTGGAGGAGCTGCCATCTAGAAACTAAAATTTGTGAAATAGATGCTTAATTATTGACAGTAATTTATTATTTACCTGTTAGTCTAGAATTCAGAAAAATGAATATTTCTTTAGAAATACATTTTCTAATACATTCGTGAAAAGCAAAGCTTTCTCTAAGCTGTTTAGTACAATAGCTGGCAATATGCGTATGATTTGAGGCCTGTTGTTTTCAGTCCCTCATTTTTGCAGACAAATACCCCTCCTGTAGTACATAGGGCTGCTCTATCATATTATTATATAACCATTGGAAGATCAGCCACTGATGATGGGGTAGGAACTGAACCCAGAATTCTATGTTTGGTCTAGGGAATGTGCCTTGGTAAGTCGTTTTTGTTTTTGTTTTTGATAAAATAAAGTACATATTTCAGAAACGCATTACGAGTTTGGTATGTTCCCACTCAGAGATATTTTTTCAGTTGGCAGAGGCTTATCTAGGGAAGGCAGAATTCTGTAGCCAACTAACTAAGCAAGTGTCTAGTGAAGAATGAGGAAAATTCAAGAAGCTCCACACACTAAGCTTTTCCTTGCCAGATATTCTGCAACACCCATGGCTGAAAGTTAATTCCTTCCACTTACCAAGTTACAGTGAAATATAACTCAAGCAAGATTGGTGTGTTAAAATGTGTATTTTTACCAAAGCTCTCTGAGATTATTTCAGCTTCCTCAAAGGAATTACATAGAGTTTGAGGTGAGCTTCCTAAAATGAATAGGAAAAATTGGCAGAAAAAGTGGAAATACAGTCAAGTAAGGATGTAAGTAATAAAGGGATCCCAAATATGTATTGGCAGCCTTGCCTGAAAATTAAATTGCTTTATTTCTACTAGAAACCTTTTAGAAACAATTTCATATAACATAATTACATTAGCTCAGAAAATTAGACAAGGAGATAAAAGGAAAATATAAGAAATAGACCAGAAACACCTGCTCTCTGGATATACTGTATAACTCTCTGAATTGTCTTAAAAATTTTTATGAGACAATTCCCTTTGTATCAGTTCTCTGAAAATGGTTAGAGCAGTGACTTTCAAATCATTCTTTGCCCACCTGTGCAGGAGCCCCACAGGCTCTAACTGGTGGAAGGAAGCACTGGGGAAGATTGATACGCTGGGTCTTTAGAACGCTATTTTAACCACAGCATCTTTGATCATTGAATGTATAGTTCAAGAAGATTGCATTTGATTAAAGTGTTCCTCTGCTTTCTGGGCAAGCAGATTAACATGACAAGAGGAAGCAGCATTTCCTAACTATTAGTTATAATTTCAAACTTAGCTTTGCTACACATTCAGATCACTTTCTGTCAACTACATATGGTTATAGTGTTGGTTTTCAATAGGGATTTACAGTTTTCGATGATGTTGTTCAGACAAATATCATTACAGCATAGCTTGCTCCATTAATACGGTACAGCATTGGAGATACACAGACTGACTGTTACATTGCAATGCAATACTCTTACATTTTTGTCTGTTGTTAAACTAAACAAAACAGAACAAAAAAGAGAATAAGATATCCTATTATGGTGTAGATATAACTGCATTTCTTACCTTGAAGGAAGCATATTAGCCCGATTAATTAAAATAAATGATTACTTAATGAAGTTTCATACCAGCACTAGAAAATTCTTCTTATATCTTTAGAAAAAAATGGTACATTTGAATTTTAAATTCTGTTAAAGACGTAATTAAACCACCATGAAAGTTCTTTTTAACTTTCTCATGAATATTAGCTGATAAGATGTATTCTTCCTTCCGAAATAACTGAAGTTTATAATACTGTGAAGCTGGCTATATAAATGTGATAAAGCTATAAATGTTATAGTTCATACAGTGACAATTAATATAATGTGACTGCCAGAATAGTACTTGAGTAAGTTTTGGAAAAATGTGGATAATAAAGATCAAATGAACCTTAGAAGTTCTTGGAGATTAACCTATTTATTTGCTGCATTACATATGACCCGGTTGCAACTCATTACTCCCGTAGTAATTATTTTTGAGTTATTTGTTTTAAAAGAACATACAGGCTAAAGTTGTTTATGTGATATTTAGTGATTCAAAACATAGCATCTTGAAATTCATAGTGTCAAAACTTATAAAAAGTATTTAAAATCACTAACAGAAAAGAAGATTATCAATTCTATCTTCCTGCCTTTTCTCTCCAGGTTTAAGATTTTCTATAAAGCAATGATCAATTAATTCACAAATTCCTTGTCTGATGAAATTAGCTTAACTAGTGCCTTCTTCTTTGTCTCATTGACAGGGTTATGGCCAAATTAGATGATTTAAACACCTCTTCCTAAAACATTATTTTAAGACATTTGTTTTTTGTTTTTGTTTTTTTGTGACGGAGTCTCGCTCTGTCGCCCAGGCTGGAGTTCAGTGGTGCGATCTCGGCTCACTGCAAGCTCCGTCTCCCTGGTTCAGCCATTCTCCTGCCTCAGCCACCCGAGTAGCTGGGACCGCCACCACGCCCGGCTAATTTTTTGCATTTTTAGTAGCGACCAGGTTTCACCGTGTTAGCCAGGATGGTCTCGATCTCCTGACCTCGTGATCCGCCCGCCTCGGCCTCCCAAAGTGCTGGTATTACAGGCGTGAGCCACCGCGCCTGGCCAGGACATCTGTTTTTTAAACTACTTCATAATATTATGTCAAGTTATGTTTAATTTGAATTATAGTTTTTAACAAATAACAGCTATGGAAAAATTCACTAAGCCACAAAAAGAAATAATTAGTGTCCTTTTATTTTGATAACTTGAGAGAAATAAAAAGGTCTTCTCCATGCATTATATAGAGAAAAGATTGACTCTTTTATTTAAACCAATCAAGTTCCCAAGTCAGTAATATGATTATTATGGAGTATCTTATAGAAGTGATCTCTTCTTATGTTGTATTTTTGGGTATAAATTCTATAACATTTTATTAGTAAAAAATTTGAATCCTCACATCGTCTTGACTGATGAAAATATTTTAATGATACACAGAACAAAATCATTTTAATAATATTTTATCTTATGTAAAAGTTGATTAAAATATTTAATTATAACTCATAATCAAGTTTTATTTGGCATCTAGTTATGCAAATACAGGCTTTCCCAAGCCAGGCATTATTGATATTTGGGGCACAATTCTCCTAGTTATAATTTGATTATGAGTTATAATTAAATTATTAGGAAGTTTGGCAGCATCACTGGGCCCTACACACTAGATGTTGGTAGCATACACATACCATCACAGTAATGCAATCAAAGATGTGTCCAGTCCTTGCTAAATGTCTCCTAGTGAGCAAAAGTTCCCCTGGCTGAAAACCAGTACTCTAATACATATTTGATAAAAGATTGTCCTTTAGGCTACAAGTAGTAAGCTTCATTTATTTGGACTATTTTGGATGTTCAAGTTTCCATATTTTAACAAATACATCTTTATTCTTTGCAAAATAGAAAATAACTTGTAAATATATTATGAGAGTTGATTACAAGATAGGGTAATTGTTTTACAAATAGAAAATTATTAGTTAAATTTCCTATAAATAAATTTTATTTCAGAATATCTTGGAGTAGTAGTAGGTCCTCATGGGTCCACACTGAATTTAGGTAAAATTGCAATAAAGCAAATTAATATAAAATTTCCTCCCATGTATATACCAGAAGAACTATCCATATGCACCTTCCAAGAAAACAAAATTTTAAAATACTAGCCATGCCTTCTTACTAGGTATTGTGCCCTCTGTTACATTGTTATTGGAAAAGAAAGAAAGCAGGTGTAAAACAAAATTGTGTTAGTCTATTTTACAATGATATAAAGGAATACCTGAGACTGGGTAGTTTATATTTAAAAAAGAGATTTATGTGGCTCAGGATTCTGCAGACTATACAAGAAGCATGGTGCCAGCAGCTGCTTCTGGTGAGGCCTCAGGAAGCTCCCAATCATGGCAAAAGAAGGGGTGGCAGGTATGTCACATGATGAGAGAGGCTGCAGTGGGTTGGGGGAGGTCTCAGAGTCTTATTAACATGCAGATCTTGGGTAACTCATTACCACGGGGAGGGCACCAAACCATTCATGAGGGATCCACTCCCATGTCCCAGATACTTCCCACCAGGCCCACCTTCCACACTGGAGATCACATTTCCACATGAGATTTGAGGGACAAATGTCCAAAACCATATCAAAAATGTATACATGAAAACAAAAATTAAGAAGATGCAAAAAGACCACAAAGAAAGAATAGGTTTCTCCAGAGAATTTAGTTACACTTACAGTTATTTTTCCAGAAGCTATTTCTTTCTGCTTAAGACTGTTGGTCAACATGAATAGCAGCTCCTAGAATGAAGACCAAAATGAGGTTACACTCTAGTAAAAATAATTTTTTCTTGAGGCTCTCTTATTTCCTAGACCCTCAAGAATATGTCATACTATGTGTAAAGTGTAACCAATTTTTAAAAGGAGTCATTGTGTTCTAATAAGAATGAAACAGATTCCCCCTAATTCGAAGAGCAGGATCCTAAAAGACGTGAAGAGACAGGGCTACATATAACAACCATGACAGAAGTATTCTACCAGCTACAGTGGGAATCACAGGAAAGGCAGTAGTTACGATTATGGTTCTTCAGAAACTAGGCTCCAGTAAATGTGTGGAGATTTTGATGAATCTCTATAAGGAACATTGTTTGAGACATAAACTTGCCAAAAATATCTGACCAGTAGCATTACACAGAATCCAATACCTGATAAAATAAAAAAGTTGCAGACCACGAGTGACACTACTTGTAACTGCTCAGGGCTAGAAGACATCAGTTCAATAAAGAAAAATCAATGACAAGTGCAAATTATGCCCAGATACATATGAAAGAAAAATTGACAAATGTTTTATAGGGTTATAAGTATGCTTATGCAGGTATGTATACTTATCTATAGTTATATGAAAGTTATGAGGCACATATATAAGCCTGCTTTTTCTATAACAGCACTTTGTTATTATATTGCCAATCTCAACTGCTAAATGACTCCCACAGTATGCAACAATGTCAGGGTGGTGGTTATTTTCAATTAATACTGTATTTGATTTATAAAATAAGGCAGTAAAATATTACTCTCAGTTTGTAAACCAGAGAAACATTTGTTCAGAACCCAGAAAGCTTACCTTATCAAAATTTATCTGCTTAAGCAGAGACAGACCTTGCTCTGCTATCATTTACTCTCCTGACAGATAAAATGAACTACTACATCTTCTGAGAAAGTGCCATATATTTATCCATCCATTTCCTCACCATCCATTAAGTCATCTGTTCATTCATTCAAGACATATTTACTGAATGTTGGCTTTGTGTCAGGCATTGTTTTAGGCACTGGAGGTGTGTTAGCAAAAAAAACAGCCAAGTGTCCTCTCCCTTATGAAGTTTCTTTTCTTTTTCTTTTTCTTTTGAGACGGAATGTCGCTCTGTTGCCCAGGCTGGAGTGCAGTGGCGCGATCTCGGCTCACTGCAAGCTCCGCCTCCTGGGTTCACGCCATTCTCCTGCCTCAGCCTCCTGAGTAGCTGGGACTACAGGCGCCTGCCACCACGCCCGGTTAATTTTTTATATTTTTAGTAGAGACGGGGTGTTAGCCAGGGTGGTCTTGAACTCCTGACCTCGTGATCCACCCGGCTCAGCCTCCCAAAGTGCTGGGATTACAGGCGTGAACCACCGTGCCCGGCTATGAAGTTTATTTTCTAGCAGGAAGAGGCAAACACAGAGGGAGATACAATAAAATTTAAGCAAATAATCAAAAACAATTGATTATATGTAATATATGTATTATTATAGTGGAGATGATAACTGCAACAAACACACTTTGTATGTACTTCTAAAGTAGGAATATATATGCTCCATTTTAATGTACCTGATTACAGTTTTGACCACTGTATTTCTTAGCAATTGCATTTGGGTGTAATTAACAAAGACTTGGTATAGTGTCTCAAATGAGTCAAAGGTTTATTTTCTCACACAATAGTAGTCCAAAGGTAGCCTGCCCAGTGATGATACAATGCATCCATGAGTCATTAGGCTGTTTTCTTTCTTTCTACTCAGTTGTTCTCAAAGCTGTGGTTTTCATCCTGAAAGTCACTGGATGCTGTGCAAGACAGACCCCTTAAAAACATTTCCTGGAATCCTGATCCTATGTCTTCTGCTTACATCAAATGGCCGTTCCTAGCTGTAAACAAGGATGGGAAACATAGTATTTTACCTGAAAATATCATTGTCTTGAAGAAAATCAGGGTTCTGTTACTAAGGAAGCAGAGATAATGAATATTTGGGAAGTTCCCAGCAGTCCAAGCCACAGCCTCCTAGACTTCAGACCTCTTTAACACAGTAGGGATTCCTTCTCTCTCATCTCAGTATCCAGCGTAAGGTATAGCATGTTAAAGATACTCAGTACTGGTAGAAGAAGCCCTGAGTAAATGAATGAGTGGAGTCCTTGATTAAGGCAGTGGTTACTTCCTTGGCGCCTGAAACAGGAAATGACTCTAAGGTAAATAACCCTTTAAATAGTCTAAGTTAAATAATGCTACAGTCTGTAGCCATTACGGTCTCCTCAAAGATACATAAAGCAACGCTTTTTACAAGGACTTTATAATATATTATGATCTCTCGACTAATATACTTTCAATCCAGCCTAGAATGTTGTATCATATGACAGTTATAAATGAATTGCTCTGGGAGCAATTTATAAAGAATGCTCTGGGAGCATTTATAAAGAAAGGATGGGCCACAGGTGACATGCTGAAGTGAAAAATGACATTCTTTTAGATATTGGACACTTAAGTGTTAAGTTTGTATCATATATTATTTCAATTTTAGAGCATAAAATGCTACCATCTGCACGAGTTGCACATAATTTGAGAGAAATTCAAATGTTGTCCTTAGAGAATCAAAGTTCATAAGATCAATGGTATTTTCGCATGTGAGGCCAACATTTCAAACACATTCTATTTTCCTTGGGTGTCAGTATCTAACAAAATGTCTACAGAAAAGCAGGATTTATGTTCTGTATTTAAGATCTGAATAAGTCTTGGGGTTCATTCTTTTGGCTAAGTTTCCCAGAAAAAGGAGAAATTAAATCACCTGAGAATATTCTTCTTGGCAATGCCATGGGATCTTTTGGATCACCACAATGTGATAATCATCCTCAATGATAAAATAAATTACACACACACACACACACACACACACACACGAAAATGTGTACATATGAAAAATAACAAAGACACACAGAAAAATACACAGAAACTGAAGAATTTTCTTTCCTGACACTCAGTTTCCATGGACTAATGGGGTGGTCACATTCTGGATTTGTCTGGATTTGTTTCACACTTTTTTTTCAATTCTAAAGAAAAACATTAAAAATTCTTATCAAATGAAAAATAATAGCTTAGGTGCAGTGTCTCATGCCTGTAATCTTGGCAGTTTGGAAGGCCAAGGGGCATGGTAACACTTGAGCCCGGGAGTTTGGGACCAGCCTGGTCAACATGGCGAACCTCTATCTCTACAAATAATAATAATAATAATAATAATAATAATAATAATAATAATAATAATAATAAATGAAAGCTAGCCAGGCATGGTGGTGCATGCCTATAGTCCCAGCTACTCAGGAGGCTGAGATGGGAAAATCAGCTGAACCCGGGGTGATGGAGGCAGCAGTGAGCCATAATCATACTGCACTCCATCCTAGGTAACAGAGTGAGACCCTGTCTCAAAAAAATAATAATAATAAAAATAAGAAAATAATAGATCTGCAGAAAGTAAAAAAGATTAGCCTATATGGATGATCCAGAAGTATGCTAAGAAAAATGTAATTCTAAGTACCAGAAAATAATTCTATAAAAAATATATATTAGTTCATAACCACAATATATTTAAGAAAAATTTAAGGAAATTTAATTCTAAGTACCAGAAAAGAATTCTATAAATAATATATATTAGTTCTTAACCACAATATATTTTTTGATAAAATGTGGAAGAGCTAGCCTTTTCTGAAGGGAGATTTTCTAGGTTTCAGCTGATAAAATTTTAGGTACATGTGCTTTTTATGTTTGGCAAGTATTAAATTTAATCATAGAGTTATTGTCCATAATTAGTATTTGTCTTCTCATACAGAATGACATCTAGTTTTTCCTTTACCTTAAAAATATTCATTGCATGTCTTCAAAATGAGCATATGCAACATGTATGTATAATTAAGTATGCATGCATGAATATGCATATGCCCTGATGTACATCTAGATGTTTATAGAGAGACATAAACAATTTCCACCAGTCATAATCTGTATTTCCTTGAAAAACAACCTTATTTTTTTTTAACTTTTATTTTAAGTTCAGAGGTACATGTGCAGCCCATTAATGGTGACTGGAAATCCAAACTTCTTAGGTAACCACACCAGCAGTGGTTAAAGTAAAAGAAGACATTGTAACATTCATCTGCACAGCGTTGGAAAATGCAGAGAAACATATAGTGCTGTGAAAATGTTGTAAGAAAATGTCCTGTCCCTATTTTCAACTTCACATTGTTTCAGTGTAGGGTGAAATAAGATGTGGCCTTCTAAAAATTTTCTTCCCTTCTGTATTGAAAAAAAAATAATAACTTATTCCAGAATTTGTGATGTATCAGGACCCTTCTTTTTTCCCTAACTGATGGAATCTATTATTGTTCATTTCAATAATAGTTTATAAAAATGCTCAGTATTTTAAATTTCACTTACCATAACACCAGGTCACAATATATACTTTAAAATGTTTTCACGGAAGGAACGATTACTATTATGTGCTAAATCTAAGTGTGTAGAAATGTATGGAAGATGTGTGTGGAAAATTATGTAGAAAAAGTATATAAGTCCTCTTGAAACATATGATACTTAAGATAAATATTTTCTCACTAACTCATAAAGAACAAAAGCCATCCATATTATCTGCTACGGTCTGAATGTGGCCTCCGAAATTTATATGTTAAAACTTAATTGTCAATGTGATAGTATTAAGAAGTGAGGCCTTTAGGAGGTGTTTAAATTATGAGGGTAGAGCCCTCACTAATAGGGTTAGTGACCTGATAAAAGAGGCATGTGGGAGCTGTTCGCCCCTTCCACCACGTGAAGATTTAACAACAAAGTGTCATCTATGAGGCCCTTGCCAGATACTGAGTCTGCTACTTCCTTGATCTTGGAATTCCCTGCCTCTGGAACTATAAGCAGTAAATTTCAGTTGTTTATAAATTGCCTAGGCTATAGCATTTTGTTATACCAACCTGTAAGGACTGAGAAAGAAATTGGTACTGGGAATGAGGTGCTGCTGTAACAAATTTTTAAATATGTGGAAGCAGCTTTGGAACTGGGTACCAGGTAGAGGCTGGAAGAGTTTTGGGGGTATTTGCTATGAAGGGTGATTCTGGTGAAGACCCAGAAGGAGACAGATCTGTAGAGAAGGCTTTAACTTTTTTACAGATGTTGTGTTCCTGTCCTACTGCTTTGTGGAAGGTGGAAATTGTAAGTGGTGAAATAGGATATGTGGTGGAAGAAATCAATAAGCAAAGTGTTGAGAATGCAGCGTGGCCTCTATTGACTGCTTATAGTAAAATGCAAGGAAAAACAAATTAAAGATGAAATCTATACACAAAATGGGACCATAATGTAAAGACTTGAAAAATTATCAGGCTGACCATCTTGTAAAGAAAGAAAAAGCATGTTCAGGAGAAAATACCAAGAGTACAGTGAAGCAAATATTTGATAAGGAGATTAGCATGAACACAAGGAAGCCAGATGCTATTCATCAAAACAGTGAAAGAATGACCCTGAAGGCATTTCAGATATTTTAGGTGCTGGCTGACCCTCCCATCACAGGCCATAGTTACAGGTCAACTCCCAGGGGATGGACTGATGTCGAAGAGGACCCTCAGACACCCACAGAGCCTCATTCAAGCCTCTTCTCCCTGCATTCTGGCACAGTGCTCCTCATTTATCCCAGGTGTGGCTCAAGTAGGCCCAGGTGCAGGGCAGGCTGCTGTGGCCACCTCTCCAGAGGGACCAGATGGTAAACCATGGTGGAATTCACATGATACCACCTCTACCATGGCACGGAGTACACAAACTCTAAGGGCATGGTTGCCTCCACCTAGATTTCAAAAGATGCCCTCAAGAGCATCAGGGCCCAGGCAGAGTACTGTCACAGGGCAACCAAAGAAAGTCTGCACCAGGGCAATGTTAAGTGGAGCCATTATTTAGGGTTACTGCAAAGAATCCCACACAGGAAATGCCTGTTGAAGCTATTGGGGTGGCACTGGCCCTGAGACTCTTTCTGACATGTGAGGATGCAAGGACAAGGTGCCATCTATGAAGCCCTCATCAGACACTCACTCTGCTGATGCCTTAATTTTTGACTTCTCAGTCTCCAGAACTGTGAGCAATACATTTCTGTTGTTTATAAATTACTCAGTGTATGATGTTGTATTATAGCAGCCTGAACAGACTAAGACAATATCCAAGATTATGTTTGGGATATAACAGGCCTATAATTATAATATCTTTAATACATATGGTAATAGATTAAATGTAATAAGTTTATAAATGAATTTTTCTACCACCTCTTAATGGAAACAGATGATGTCTTGTCAATTTTCTGTATTTAGCACCAGAAAAAGTACATGGACACTAAGGAGCGCAATCCTAGCCCACAGCTTTCTCATCATCTAATTTCATCTAAAGAGCGAACTGGGATTATCAAGAGCAAGAATTTCCAAAATTTAGAATGCATAAGGATTACATGAAGTGATTACGAAAAGTGATATTTCTAAGGCTTTGATTCCAGAGATTCTGATTTAGTGAGTTTGAGTTGGGCCCCTACATCGAATTATCTTTTCTTGAAAGACTGATGCAAATTGTTCCCGTTAACACTTGATAAACACTGATATGTAGGAATGAAATAACTGTGTATCCTTATTTCTCACATGTCAGCTTTTGAGAATAAATGCCCATAAGGCATCTTGGAATCATGTTCAATGGCAATAAACAGGAGTGCAGGCATCTCATTTTGCTGATTAAGAGTAAATGTGTATGTTTTGACATTAAAGCTGAGGTTAGAGTTGACAATTTTTAGAAATCCTGTGGAGCTAACAAGAATATTGGCCTGAATAACTAAACACTTTCAAGTTAAGACTTTCTTTAGAAAACATATTTGATCTTTATCAATTTACAAAAGCATGGGTCAAAGATACCATGATTTTGTACCATAAAGTCTGGACACAATAGTTTTGAACAACTTATGATATTAATTGCTTAAAATAACCATTAAGTATAAAACAGAGAAAGAGAATGACAGAGAAATATTCAATAGACTCCACAAATGAAGAGTAATCATAATGTGTGTGTCTGTGTACACATATCCATTTTGAAGTAAATCGGTTGACGTGATATAATTTCTATTAAATACCAATTAACTTTTTAGGGACTATATTCAAAACTTTCAATTTAAAAATATTTGATCATGAACTGCTATTCATATAAATATTAAAGGATGGTTTAAAAAGTGACAAAAGCATAAAAATAAATACAACTTTCTATTTTTGACAGATTTGAAGGGGATATGTACATATTTTTTTCATGTCAAGATTACCTAAAATTATCAAGTCATAAAATCCAAGTTTTCTCTTTAATTTATTTTTTTGTCTCTCAAATTTGTTATGTGATCTGTCGGGAAATTGTTGCTATCGATCGTGAAACCTCAGGGGGTATTAAGGTCTTTACAGGCATCATTTTCTGCCTGGTCTCTATTGACACCAAACAACTTAGCGATTGGTGGTCTCTCAGGGTCAAAGACTAGGGAAAGATCAATAAAAACTGCAAACAATCTCATGTTGTTTTCACAGCGAATTCACAAGGTGAGAGAAAATAGAATGTGCCTCTCAACTGTTGACTTCTGTGTCTGGACTCAAAGCTCCACAGAAACAACATCATTTCAATACTTAAAATGAGAAAACCTTCAGATAACTATTTTTTAAATAAATAAACTTTATGGAAATATAATTGATATATAAAAACATCTGCAGGTGAATAGAAAATGTGTTGAGTTTGGATATATGCATACACCGATGATACTATCACCACAATAGAGGTAATAAATATGTCCTCTACCTCCAAAGGTGTCCTTCTGCCCCTTTGTGTGTGTGTGTGTGTGTGTGTGTGTGTGTGTGTGTTGTTTTGTTTGTAAGAACACTTAACATGCAATCTACCCTATTTCTTAAGTGCATGATACTATGTTGTTAACTATAGGTGCTATGTGGTACACAAATCTCTAGAGTTTATTCATCTTGCATAACTGAAACTTTACACCATTGACCAACAACTCCCCTTTCCCCTTCCGACCGCTGGCAATCACCATTCTATTCTCTGCTTCTATGAGTCTGAGCATTTTATACACCTCATATAAGTGGATTCATGCAGTATTTGTCCTTTTGTGAATGGCTTCTTTCATTTAGCATATTGTCCTTTAAGTTTATCCATGTTGTCACAAATAGGATTTCATTGTTTTTTCAATGCTGAACAATATTGCATTTTATGTAGATACCACATTTCCTTTATCCATTAATCTGTCAATGGACTTCTGTTTTTTTTTTCCTACCTTGGCTATTGTGAATAATGTTGCATTGAACATGAAAGTGCAAATGTGTCTTTGAGATCCTGATTTCAATCCTTTTGAATATATACCCAGAATTGGGATTGCTAGATCATAGGATACTTTTTTTTGATAAATCTTTATGCTACTCATAATGGCTGATTCATTTTACACTTACATCTACAGTGTTCAAATGTCCCAATTTTTCAGCATCCTTGGCAACACTTTTTATTTTTACTTTTATTATAGTCATCCTAACAGAGATGCAGTGATATCTAGTGGTTTTAATCTGAAATTCTCTGATGATTAGTAATGTTGAGTGTATTAGCCTGTTCTCACACTGCTAATAAAGACATACCCAAGACTCGGTAATTTATAAAGGAAAGAGGTTTAATTGATTCACAGTTCCACAGGGCTAGGGAGGCCTCAGGAAACTTACAATCATGGCAGAAAGGGAAGCAAATACATCCTTCCTCACATGGTGGCAGCAAGGAGACGTGCTGATCAAAAGGGGGAAAAGCCCCTTATAAAACCATCAGCTCTCATGAGAATTCACTCAGTGTCATGAGAAAAGCAGCATGGGGGTAACCACCCCCATGATTCAATTACCTCCCACTGGGTCCCTCTCACAACACGTGGGATTTATGAGAACTACAATCCAAGGTGAGATTTGGGTGGGGACACAGCTGAACCATATCATTGAGTATGTTTTTTTATATACCTGATGAGCACTTCTATGACTTCTGTGGAGAAATATCTACTGAAGTCCTTTGTTCATTTTTTAATTGCATTGATTTTTGTTTTGTTTACTTGTGTGCTTGTTTACTATTGAGTTGGAGGAGTTTCTTAAATATTTTGGAGATTAAAACCTTATCAAATACATATGGTTTACAAATATTTACTCCCATTCTTCAGATTGCCTTTTCATTCTGTTGATTGTATCCTTTGAGGTGCAGAAGCTTTTTAGTTTGACATAGTCCCACTTGTGTATTTTTGCTTTTGTTGCCTTTGCTTTTGGGATCATATTTAAGAAATCATTGCCAAGACCAATAAGCTTTTCCTCATTCTTTTCTTCTAGAATTTATACAGTTTGATGTCATATATTTAAGAATTTATACGGCTGGGCATGGTGGCTCATGCCTGTAATCCCAGCACTTTGGGAGGCCGAAGTGGGTGAATCACCTGAGGTCAGGAGTTTGAGACCAGTCTGACCAATATGATGAAACCCCGTCTCTACTAAAGATACAAAAATTAGCCAGGGGTGGTGGCATGCTCCTGTAATCCCAGCTACTCATGAGGCTGAGACAGGAGAATCGCTTGAACCCAGGAGGTGTAGGTTGCAGAGAGCGGAGATTGCACCATTGCACTCCAGCCTGGGAAACAAGAACAAAACTCCGTCTAAAAGTAAAAATTAAAAAAAAAGAATTTATACAATTTAATGTCTTATATTTTAGTCTGTTTTCAGTTGACTTCTGGAGATGGTGGAAAATAGGGGCCAAATTTCATTCTTTTGCATATGATTATCCAGTTTTCCCAACATCATTTGATGATGAGGTTGTCCTTTCCCCATTGTGTATTTCTTGGCACACTTGTCAATAATCAGTTGCCTGTATATCAGTGGGTTTTTTTTCTGTGTTCTCTATTCAGCTGCATTAATCTATATGTCCAACTTTATGTCAACAGCAAACTTTAAATTACTGTAGCTTTGTAATATAGTTTAAAATTAGGAAGTGTGATGCTTCCAGGTTTGTTCTTCTTTCTCAAGATCATTGGCTATTTTGTGTCTTTTGTAGTTCCATATAAACTTTAGAATTTGTTTTGCTATTTATTTCCAAATAATAATGGCATTGGAATTTAGTGGTGACAGCGCTGAATCTGTAGATTGCTGTGGGTAGTATGGGCATTTTGACAATATTATATCTTCCAATCCATGAACATGGGTGGCCTTTCCATTTATTTGTATCTTTTAAAATTTCTTTTATCAATGTTTTGTAGTTTTCAGTGGATAATTTTTTCAAGCCCTTGGATAAGCATATTATTAAGTATTGTATTTTTATGCTATTGTAAATGGGATCATGTTCTTTATTTTTTTTGAATAGTCCATTGTTAGTTAAAAAAGACACAACATTATTTTGTATGCTCATTTTGAATTCTTCAATTTTACTGAATTTATTTATTAGATCTAACAATTTTTCTAGTGGTGTCTTCAGGGTTTTCTATATATAAGATCATATCATCTGCAAACAAAGACAGTCCTTCCATTCTGACTTAAATGCCTTTTTGTTTTTTTCGTTCCTAATTTCTCGGTTAAGACTTCCAGTACTATGTTGAATAGAAGCGGAGAGAGTGGACATCCTTGCCTTGTTCCCGATCTTAGGGGAAAAGCTCTAACTTTTCACGGTTGAGTATGATGTTAGCTGTGGGTCTGTCATATGTGGCCTTTATCATGTTGAGACACATTCCTGCTATACTTATTTTGTTAAATGTTTTTTATTGTGAAAGTGTATTAAATTTTGTCAAATGCTTTTTCTACACCTATTGAGATGACTATAGGATTTTTTCCTTCATTCTGTGAGGGTTAGGGTTAGGGAAGCATAGGGTTAGGGTTAGAGTTAGGAAAAGGTATGTATATCCTTCACAGAAGGATAAAAATCCTATAGTCATTTCAATAGGTGTAAAAAAAGCACTTGACAAAATTTATTACTCTTTCGTGATAAAAACACTCAACAGGCTGGGCACGGTGGCTCACACCTGTAATCCCAACACTTTGGGAGGCTGAGGTGGGCAGATCACGAGGTCAGGAGATCAAGACCATCTTGGCTAATGCAGTGAAACCCGGTCTCTACTAAAAATACAAAAACTTAGCCGGGCATGGTGGCGGGCGCCTATAGTCCCAGCTACTCGGGAGGCTGAGGCAGGAGAATGGCATGAACCCAGGAGGTGGAGGTTGCAGTGAACCAAGATCAGGCCACTGCACTCCAGCCTGGACAACAGAGCAAGACTCCTTCAAAAAACAAACAAACAAAAACCGTAACAAACTAAGTATTGAAGGAATCTGTCTCAACAAAATGAAGGCGTTATGAAATTATGACATCTATTGATATGTGTGTGTCGAATCATCCTTGCATCCCAGGGATAAATCCCACTTCATCATGAATGATAGTTTTTACTGTGCTGTTGAATTCAGTTTGCTAGTATTTTTAAACAGTTTTTGCAACTATGTTTGTTGGTAATAATAGTCTGTAATTTTCTTATGTTGTAGCACCCTTGCCTGGCTTTGGTATTAGGGTAATGCTGGTCTCATCAAGAGTTTGAATATGTTCTCTTCACTTTTTTAGAAAAGTTTGAGAAGGGTTAATATTGGGTCCTCTCTAAATGTTTGGTACAATTCAGCAGTAAAGCCACTCAGTCCTGGGCTTTCCTTTGATGGGAGACTATTTATTACTGATTCAATGTTCTTATTTGTAATTGGCCTGATCAGATTTTCTATTCTCTCCCATTTTAGTCTTTGTATGTTGTACATTTCTAGTAATTTATTTATTTCCTCTAGTTAACAAATTTGTTGGTTTATAATTGTTCATATTTTCTAGTGTGATCCTTTGTATTTCTGTGGCATCAGTCATAATGTCTTCATTTTTCACTTCTAATTTTATTTGTCTTCTGTTTTTCTTAGCTACTTGCAATGATTAATACTGAGTGTCAACTTGACTGGATTGAAGGATACAAAGTATTAATCCTGGGTGTGTCAGTATGGGTGTTGCCAAAAGAGATTAACATTTGAGTCAATGGGCTGGGGAGGGCAGACCTACTCTTAATCCAGTGAACACAATCTAATCAGCTTCCAGCAAATATAAAGGAGGCAGAAAACATAAAAAAGAGACACAGGTCCAGCCTCCCAGCCCACATCTTTCTCCCGTGTTGGATGCTTCCTGCCCTCGAACGTCGGACTCCAAATTCTTCAGTTTTGGGATTTGGACTGGCTCTCCTTGCTCCTCAGCTTGTAGACAGGCTATTGTGGGACCTTGTGATAGTGTAAGTTAATACTTGATAAACTTATATATATATATATAATATATAATATATATATCTCAAGTATAATAGGATATATATATCCTATATATATATATATATATCTCCTGTTAGTTCTATCCCTCTAAGAGAACCCTAATACACTAGTTTAGCTAAAGACTTGTCAATTCCATTAATCTTTCAAAAAAGCCAAATATTTCATTGATCTATTGCATTTTTTCTTCTAGTCTCTATTTGGTTTATTTCTGCCCTAATTGCTATATTTTCCTTCTTTTTGCTACCTTCAGGCTTTTTTCTTTTTTTATTTCCTTGAGGTGTAAAGTTAGCTTGTTTGAGATCTTTTATCTTTCTTAATGTAGGCATTTATCACTATAAGTTTTCCTCTTAGTACCGCTTTTGCCACATCCCATAAGTTATGTGTGTTGTAGTTTCCTTTTCATTTGTCTGAAGGTTGTTTAAAGCTTTATTTTACTTTTAATTGACACATAAGTGAAAAAGATATTTTTGTAGTAAAGTGTAATGTTTCCTTACATATATACAGTGTGTAATTCTCAAATCAGGGTATTTAGCAAATCCATCACCTCAAACATTTATCATTTTCTTCTAGTGAGAACAACCTGAAGATAATTTTTGTCTCTCTTCTGCACTCTAAAGGCTCTTATTCTCACTTGATCATTATTTACTTTTTTTGGTTGCTACGGTGCTCTAAGTTTAAATTTTCTCTAATGACAGCTAGTGAGATACCTGAGCCAGATATGCCCAATAAACTAAATCAGTCAAAATTGTGTTATTTGTAC
Organism: Homo sapiens; assembly: GCF_000001405.40. NCBI lineage: Eukaryota > Metazoa > Chordata > Mammalia > Primates > Hominidae > Homo > Homo sapiens. The sequence goes on from NC_000013.11 coordinate 90,707,864, forward strand.
TTACCAGTTTTAAAAATATAAGTAGTTCTCCCAGTAACCTCCTTCCTGTGATTGTATTTAAAAGAATAATTACATGTATCTCAAAAACGTATGCCCCAAACCATTCATGACAACATTACTTATATTAAAAGTTGGAAGCATTAAATTTCCAAAAGTAAGTCAGTATTTAATACATCAGGTTAAATCTACAAGATAAAATACTTTTAGTGAAACTACATTTAAATATACCGACAATATGTGAAAAGTAAAAAACTAAATCTACACAAACAAAAAAACTATATATACCTTGTGGGTTACATTGATTTAAATGTGAATATTATCCATGTCTGTAAGTATGTATTGCTCTATCTCATCTCTTTCTATGCGGATGCCAAGGCAGAGAATGACAGCATTGGCTCTCTGTGGTTGAAGACAGTATTTAGTGTCTTCTTTCTCTTTCTTTATGTTTATGTATATGCTGTATTGGCTGCAATGTTGCCTAGACAAGTCATGTTCATGGAATAGATGAGCCACACATTACACTTCCATTCAGAGGAAAGAATGACACCTTACATTCTTCCCTCCTTCTACAACACACACAGCTATTTCTGCTTCTGAGCAGGTGTGGCTTTTTCTGCCATTACCTTGAATGATAGGTGGCAGGGCTTTGTAACACCAGCACACAAACTGTTTTGAGCTCTTGATCACAAATATCTAAATATAAACTCTGGTCACTAGCAAAAATAAACCTGTATCCTGAATGTTTTCTAGTTAAAGCACACTTCATGTTCTGATTCAAGGAATTTCTAAATGTCTTTGCAGTGTGAATCCACTCAATAAGAAATCATATGGAACAACCTGCAAATTTAACTTTGAAGATAGAGACAGCAAAATATATCACTACAATCTCAGCACTAGGAAATGCTACCTTAAATAAAGGCAATATTGATTTTTAGATAATCTATACTATGCTGTTCAAGGATATTACTTTCTTAATCAAAAGAACCATAATTTTTGTGTATTTACTAAGAAAATAAAACAGTTAATTTTACAGACTTTCTGGATGTATGTAAATATACAAAAGAGACTAAATTTTAAGTGTGATTTATTTGGACATTTTGATGTATGTATATATAATTGTATATAGATTCCTGAATGATTATATTTATGTATTTATATATACATACATTAGTTTAAGGTATGACTGTAATATATCTATATAAATTTAATGTCCTCTTTCGTACAGTATTTAATCTACCCATGCCTATGGAAAATCTTTCAATTTCAGAAGTGAATGCTTTGACAGTATAACTATGTGTAAGAATAAATAGGTATTATAATATAATACACCTTCTATGACTACTTTTGCCTGTGGCTTCCATCTTTGCAAGATTTCAAGTTTGAGATTCTACCTTTTATCAATATGATTTGATGCAAGTTGGCTCCAGACTATCTCCCTTGACAAGCTAGTTTCATTTAGATACATTTCTTTTATTGGCAACACCATTGTAAGCCCAGGATAAATAATATCCCATAATCATTAATTTATTTGACTACCTTTGTCTTCAGTCTGTGAAGTCTGTGAGTTTCTTCACAGGAAAATTCCTCTTATTTTTCATCTTTCTGTCCGCAGATGGTGGCACCATCCCATGAGCTGAGTAAATTGGCAGTTATGAGTGGGAACAGCAGATGGGACACTTAAGTCAATAGAGAGAAAACCTGTGCTAGTGGAGCTTACATTCTAGTAGACAGACATAGACAATAAGTGCATACATAAAAGTGATTCTAGCAGAGAGTGATCAATGTTATGAAATGAAAGCAAGTTGATGTAATAGAAAATTAATGATTGTGTAGATGAGGGTCATGAGGTTATTTAGATATGGTGATGGGGTAACTTCTGGTAGCTAGGCTTAATTTCAACCAGCAGCTGAAAACTGAGAAGAGACAGGTCTTACAGAGAATTAGAGGGTGGACTGTGCAAAGCGAAGAGTGAAGATTTTTGAGCCAGAAATGAGTATGATACATTCTAGGGGAAAAAAGATCAGTGTGACTAATATAACACAAGGAAGGGGGAGACTGATTTCAGTTGGATTCCAATTGAACAGAATTTAAGATTTTTAAGAACAAAAAATACAATACTAATGTTAATGATTAGTAAAAGTTATAATGGAGCCTCCTTTTGTTAATTCAGAATAGATCCATTGTAGCAATGTAAATGTTTGGTTAGATCAAGGGCAGGGCAGGCTGACCGTATAGGGCTAAGCTTCGTATGTATTCCTAAGTACTTTTGGACCAATTAGCTGCAGATAAAAATTAACCTGTTTCATATCATAATTATTTCTGGCAACTGCTTTTAGGAAGATGATCCATTACTTAGTTTAGGTATTATATTTATTCTATTTCCTGAAACATCACATTTTATCATCACTGATCTGAAGTCACTGATTCTATATCACTTTGTATCAACAAAACACCCAATCAAGTTTTCCATGCTTATTGGGTTTAAAACATTTTCACATAATTTAGAGAAGTATGTTTTTTTTTTTTTTGTATCACGTACATAAAGCCTACTTCCCTAACTCACTGGGGGAAGGATAAAGTCAAGAGTATTCCCTTCCGTGTTGGGGGGTATATTTGTTCTTGTTTCAAATCATCTAAATTCTAAAGCTCGTTGTACGCTACAGATCTTGTTTCTATGGTTACCTTGAAAAAGAAGAATGCATGTTATTATACACAAACCCACTATTTCAAGAATGACCAAATAGGAGAAGAAACCACACATGCATTTCCATTATTTGTAACCTAAGTCAGCACAAGATTAGAGAAACAAAAAATAGAGTAGGAAGTTAAAGTCAAACATGAAAAAATAAAACGAAACAACAAAAGAGAAAAAATGTGTACAGAAATTTTTGAGCACAAAAGTAAATAATTATCCTCTTCAAGGACAAAAGCATGCTCTACCTGTGTGCATGTGTATGTGTGTGTTTTAAAATTATAGTTTAATAAAACAGTAATGAGTTTTAAGGGTGATCTTCTTTAAAATTTGCTTTTCTATTCTACTATTAGGATAATAATAAATTCCCACTAATTGTTATTTCAAAGGTGATCAGCAATTATAGAAAGGGAAAAGAAATAATCATAAAACAAATAGAAAAATGTGTGCATGTCTCAAGTACTGTTGGCAAAAATATATATATATATATATACATAATATAGTTTCTACCCTAAGGAAGATTATCATGCATTTGTATTTGAAGAATTAAAATGAGCTTACATGACATATTAGATATTAAGGTATGAGTAGATGAGAAAATGTACAAGAGAAGAGCTAAAAGGGAGCTTTAATAAGTTAGGTAGACACACCTCAGTCATGTGCCACAGAGCATTTAAAAAATATTTTTAAATCTGTTATTACAAACAGTGTCTGTATCGAGTGCTGGAGAATATGTGGACAATAGGAACCAGCATTCTCTTCTGTCAGGAGTATGAACCAAAGTAGCCAATCCAGAGTACAATCTGACATTGCTCAAAGAAATTGAGAATGCACATTCCCAGGACCCAGCAATTCACGTTTGAAAGAAGATATGAATGCAGCACTGTTTATAGTAATGGGAAGTTGGAACAGCTTCCTGTATTTCAGGTAAGTAGATAAGTTAAATACAATTTTATGGTATACTCTTCAGCAGTTTCGTAGGTAAGAAGATGCATATTTACTTTTGTGAATAATTTTGAGTATAAGTTAAGAAAATGAATGTTTCTATGATATGATACTTTGCGTAAAATAAATACACATGTACACATATCTATGGGCACTTATAAAACTTTTTCTAAAGGTAGCCTTGGTGGGAAAGGAGATGAGAAAAAGATAAGTGGGGATACAAGGAACAGAGACACCTTAAATGTATAATGATGTTGAACCATGAAAAAGGAGACTAATCCAGTCAACTCTCTAGACATTTTCAATGGAGTTAAAAGAAAAAAGAACCAGTAATAGTGATAAATACACCATGTATGTCTTCAATTTTTGAAACTCAACTATTATAAAGAATCATTCCAATAGCACCAAGGAGATTTCAATATCTGAATTAGAAGAATTGATTGAACCTTCAAGTAATCTTATTAACTAAGAAACCTAGTAGCTGTTAGATTTTAGCAATTTTCTTAGCAAAGTTTATTAGACATTTAATGTATTTATTACATTTCTTTATAACCCACATCAAAAATTGTTATGTTTAGTTCCAAAAAATAAAATATAAAGATTATAACCCTAGGATTTAAGCACATCGAATATTCTTAGACTGACTGAGAACATGTAAAAAATATCCTATACGATCAGATCCACTATAAAACAACTACGATCTTTATTTCTATCTATTTTCTAAAAATCTCCCTTGTTTTTTAAGCAAAGAAGTAATTTGCTAGGAAGGAAATAATGTTCTAGTCTGGAATATTTTTATTTCAGTGCCAAACCTAGCAATGTTAAGATATGAAGGCAACTTGACTATTTACATCAGTTCTGTAAGCAAATTACTCAAACTAATTGTTTCTGTATTAGTACTGCTTTGAATTTCACTAAGACCAAAGAAGAATTGGTGTATATGGAATTCTGAAAGCCAGGCCTTGTGGTAGGTACTGGAGCAACAATAACAACAAAATAAAACCCCTACCTTCCAGGACCCTATGGCTTAATGAAGAAGACCAATTAGAGAGCAGTTATTTTCAACATAGTGTTCCTGTACCATAAGGAGGCAAAATGCAGGATTCTATCTAAAAACTCAAGGTCTCAGATTACCCTGGCTTTCTTTGAGAGAAAGAGACACTATGCTAAAACCTGAAGAATCAGTTTAGTTTTCTCAGATGATGAAAGGAACAAACGTATTCCTAAAAAAGGGAAAATAAAATAATCAGTAAATGTACACAGGCAAGTATGTACACATACTAAATACTTTAGTATGGCAGGAATATATTATTCAGACTTGTAATTTGCATGAAATGAAGGAAAAGAGGTAAGCAGAATGCTTTTCAAGGGTTTTAAATCACTACGAGATGAGGGCTTTACACTAGAGACAATGAGAGTCACTTAAGTATGACCCTGGCATGATTAAATTGCGCATCAAAAAAATAAACTTTTGATATGAAAACTTAATAGGAAGGGAGATTTGTTAGGAGATATGAAAATCTGTTAAAACAAGCATGCATATCCTATGTAAAAACAAATGAACGTTAAAAGAAAAAACTATGGGGAAAGAAAAAAGATAAGGGTTTGCCAAGAGTTAAGGGGGAAGGAGGCATGAATACGTGAGGCACAGAATATTTTTAGGGCAGTAAAATTATTTCGTATGATGTATGATACTATAGAGATGAATACACATCATTATACATTTGTTAAAACCCATTAGATGGACAACACCAAGAGTGAACACTAATGTAAACTATGGACTTTGGGTGATAGTGATATATCAATACAGGATCATCAGTTGTAACAAATGTGCCACTCAGGTGGGGGATGTTGGCAATGGCGGAGGTCATGCAGAAGGAAGCCTGGGAGTATATGAGAACTCTCTGTACTTTCTACTCAATTTTGTTGTGAACCTAAACTGCTCTGAAAATAAAGTTAAATAATTAAAATAATAAAACATGGATTCAGTAGACCTGTAATAAAAAGAGGACATATTTGAGAGTCAGTAAGAATGAGGAATGAACAGAAATTGTAGAAGGATTAGATACAGGAGAACACAGGAGAAGAGGAAGTGAAAGTACCACCCTGGTTTCTAACTTAAGGGTATGAAGTAAAGTGTGGTAACATTTAATAGTACATGGAATAGAGAACCAAGCGAGGGTGGGAAGTGTGTGAGCAATGATCATTTATGACCCTACTGAATCTGGGGAACTCATTTGACACTGCAGTATAGATGGCTGGAAAGAGATAGACAGAGGCAGAGACCACTAACCTGAGGCCATGGCCCCAGGAAAGCAAGCTCCAACAAGTAGGCACTTTCACAGTGTCTGGACTTAGCATTACATAGGCTAGTCACGTAACACAGCTTTATGCTATGACAGTGATATCGGTAGTAGATATTATCTCTTGCTTCCACCTACTTTAGGTCATCTGGATGTCAGAAAATTTCATCAATAGGGTCTCTGCCTCTTTCTGCCACCACTTTCCAGCCATCTTTGCTGCACTGTCACATGTGCTCCCCAGATTCAGTAGATGGCCACCTCTAACAAGGCAGGCTTATTAGTAGAACCCGTATAACAAAACAGTAAGAGTAAGCCAAGGTGGAGGAAAAGATTTATAGGGAAAATAATTGATAAAAATTATCCTGCTTTTTATCAGAAAGAAATTGAATTAAAATAAAATGAAAAAAGTCTGCTCCATCTCTATGGCAACAAAAGGATGGTTACTGAAAACTACTATGCTATGTGTGTTACTTCTGTTTGGTTTGTGTGTGTGTGTCTGTGTGTGTGTCTCTGTGTGTGTGTGTGTCCTTAACTGAGCACTGGGTGTCTATTTACTGTTAAGAGCCTAATTCCATAAACATCATTTTCTTAATACAAAATTAGGCTTTTTTTTAATCAAGAAAAAAATGCATTTGGGTAAATGTGATTTTAGAAAAGGTCATTTAGTAAAAGAATTGGCATGTGCAGAGCTCTTACCACTGAGGAGAATGAATTAGAATTCAATGACCTACTTTCAAACTTGCTCTCATGGCTAGGAATCCAATATCGTTCTGAAGGCTTGTGAAAAAGTTGAGAAGATGACCTTTGAAAACATGAGCCTAGGAAGGACCTAAGAAACAAAATCCACGTCTGTAGAAGGCATGAGATTTTTACATTTTGGCTTTCATAGCCAAAATGATGATGATAATGAATAATAATTGAAGTCCTGCATGTTGTGAGGTAGGCAAACTGCAGTGGTGGAGCCAAGTCAAGAGTGGAGAAGCTTCTGGGAGGACACGCTCTTTATGAAGGACCAAATCTTCACTTCCCCTATGCAGGAAAGGAGAAAACCTAAGTTCACTGAAACTATAAATATTCTTCCTTATATGTGGATAATTCTGAAATTACCTGAATGTATTAGTCAGGGTTTGCCTAAGAAACAGAACCAATAGAATGTGTATAGCTAGATACATGTCTTTATCTATCTATCTATCTTTCTATCTATCTATCTATCTATCTATCTATCTATCTATCTATCTATCTGGAAATTTTAAGGAATTGGTATACATTATAATGGAAGCTGGCAATTCCAGATTCTGCAGGGTCGGTGGCAGACTGGAGACCCAGGGAAGAGCTGATTTTGTTGCAGTTCAAGTATGAAGTTAATCTTCCAACAGAATCCTCTTTTCCTGGGAGTATAGTCTTTTTTTCTCTTAAGGCCTTCAACTGATTGGTTGAGGCCTACCCACATTATGGAGTGCAATTTGCTTGACTCAAGGTCTACTGATTTCAATATTAATCTCATCTAACAACCCCTTCACAGAAACATCTAGAATAATATTTGACCAAATATCTGGGTGCCATGGCCTAGCCAAGGTGCACATAAAATTAAACACCACACTGATATTTTTCCAAAATTTGTGAATTTATGTCTCAGTTTAATAAACTGGCCTTTGATATTGGGCACAAGAGGCGAATGGCCAAGGAAAAGCAAATGTGCTTTGCCACACTTTCTTCTAGATGCCTACTGATATATGGAGCAAGTCTAATAGATAATAGTGCCAAATGGGGCCAGCAGAAGAGAGGGAGGGAGGGAAAGATAATGCAGGCTGCCCACATGCCAGAGATTAGGAAAACAAGTTTTCTAATTTCCCTACAAGTTATAAAGCAGCTGGAGTCTGTCGTCTTCTAGCTAATACTGAAAAAAAGGCCTTTTGCCTCTAAAAGTACTTCAAATATATTTAAGATTCCAACTCTCTCCCTGTCTTTAGGGTAGTAATAAAGACTAAATAAGTAGTGTCTGAATCTATGGCAGATATCAATGAAATATCAAAAATCTTTGCATGCCCATGTAACCCAGATTTGTGACTTCTAAGAAAATGTATCTCTTTGCTAATCTCATTCATATCTGGTCTTCAAGAATATAACCTTGGAAGTTGACATTTGGATTTATAAACATAGTGTTCTGTTATGTCTAGAAATGCTGTCCCTACAGTTAGTTCTAAAGCCATCCAAATGTGGCTTATGTGAAACCAATCTCAGGGAGTGTAGTTTTAAGATGATGTACTCAGTCAGTCAGAGAAAATATGACTTGCTATATTTTGAAAGAGCTCAAATATTTTATAGTCCAAGGATAATTTCTCAGTCAGATGTTACATCAATCGTAAGGTATATCCGAGTAATTATCTTCCCATCTTCAAATCTACTTTTTGTGAAACTACCTCTTTTCCTCCGGCCAACAACCCCCAGCCTATAGGAGATCATAGGCTATGAATCCTGAGCTAGCAGTTATCCCCAAAAGTTAGCAATTTGGACCATGGCTAAGGTCTCTGTTCTTATATTTTCCAGGGCATGGCAGATGGGCTTGGCCATGAAAACTCCTTACCAGAGAACATGAGTCCGTGGCTCTAAAAACAACTACAACCCAAGTACAGACACAAAGAGCCTAGTATGAAGTCAGTTGCACAGACGCAGCCCTGGTATACAGTGGACTCACAGCCTCTTGTTTCTAATAATTTCCCAGAACACCCGTGTGGTAAGCTTTTTGGTGGAACTGATTATGATAATCTGGAGTGAAGTTTAGAGTTTGAGTAAGAAATGAAGTAGTGAATGAGCAATGGCAGCAGCAGCAAGTTCTGTGCTTCCCTCAGCTGATTTCCATTCATGGGACCTGTTATGTTAGGTAGACCCACTCTGGGGCTGCTTTCCATCATTCATGCCCTGTCACGCAGGCTGACACCAGATACTTTGATATGGTGAAGAAGGACCTATTTAGGTAAATGAAATTCCCAAAGGTTTATGAATATGGACTCTAGAAGGGGAGGAGATCTTGTCCCCAAATCTTTCATTTGCATATCCTGCTAAACTTACCTGTCATTAACAGTATTCTATCAATCCTGTTAATGTTGTAAATGTTTAGCGTTCTAAGGTATATATTGGTAAGTTCTGACAACACTGCTGTTCCATAGTAAATCTAACTGATTTAAAAGCAGGAGTCAGATAATGGAAACAGATCTGGAGGCAGGGTTTGAGGCCCTGCAAGTACATAAAAGAAACAATTAGGTATGTTTCTTGGCCTGATTTTCTAGGGACCAAGTAGGATAAAGTAACCATCGGGGGGGATGTACAGAATATCAAACTTCTTATCATAAAATATTGACTTACCAGCTGCAGTAAGGTGAAGCTTTCTTAGACATGGAATTCTTAGAATAGCCATATCTGGTCTCTTAATATCACCTATGAGCCATGTGTCATTCAGCACATTTATAACAGCATATGGCTAAGAACAAGGTCTGGGAACATGGTGCAGTGTCAAATACAGATACATCATTTACTAAAAGTTAATTCTACTGTGCTGAGAAAACATATTTAATGGGCAATATCTATGTCCAAAAACAACTACTGAATGACAGGCAAGCTTGATTGGAAAGACATAAGGCAGTACACAAAAGAAAAATTGTAAGGACACAAGCAAGAGACCTACAGTGGATGTGGTGTGGCTGTGGAATGCTTGGGGGAAAAAAATGAACGCATAATCAGTTTGAAGTAATTGCAGTAAGAGGAATGACTCATTTTGAGCAAGGACAGCCTTTGAAAGAAAAGGAGTCATAAACAGAGTTGGCAATGATTATTAACTTCCATTTGTATGCTGCACAACACATTCCAAAACACTTCCACATGTTTTATCTTAGTCGAATTGGAAAACAATCCTGAAAGTCAGAAAAAGCAGGTATTGTTCTCCCTGTTTTGTATGCAAGGAAAGGAATGCAGAGAGGTTAATTGACTGGCCGAGGTCACATTGCTAGTTAGAGAACCAGCAAGGAAGAGAACCTAGGTTTCCAGAATCTCAGTGTAATGTATTTTAACCACCCCTGGCTGCACACAGCAGTTTTGCTGAACAAAGAAATTCTTCACTTATGTACAGCTTAGAGAACCCTGGCGTTTTTATCCAGCCTCTTCCTATTAATAACAATGATGTCAATTTCACCCCTCTCCAGCTATGAAATCATATGACCCCAGAGGTCACTGGGTTCATCCACCATCACACAACGTTCACCAGCCCAAGATCAAATTAACCTTTTTGCATTACTACCAAAATGTTTACTCCTATTCACCTTAAGGCCAAACATACACTTCATAGACATGTATGATGCATAGAATTACTTAGCTTTACTTAGAAAAATAGAATCCTTGCTAAAGAACACATTCCAATTGCTTTACCTTGGTGGAGAGGAGACATAAGAAGAATATGAGGTAATTACAATGTCTATTATGACCTCAGGCTATAGGCCTTAAAACACCACCTTAAAAATACAAAAGGATAGTTGATGTTTATTTTCCGACCTAACTTGTAATTTGCTATATTCCATATATCTAAATCAAATTCCACTGCAATCAGAGCTAGAATTCCACAGCAATCAATGCCTGCAGTCAGGCTGGAAAAAAACAGTTGCATTTGGGTGTCTAATCACTACCTGTCAATACCTGCTGTTGAACAGGAGTGGGCTCCACTTTCAATTGTCAAACAATTGATTTTTCCAGGCGATGTGGATGAAGTGGACAAGAAAAGCTCCTGTGTTTTTATCCACGACCCTCCTGCTTGGAACAACTGAACCCCAAATCAAAATAATTTCACTCCACATCCTAATTATATCAGTTGTCAACATCTCTAGCATCAAAAATATCCCGTTTATTCCAGTTCAGTATGTCAAGCACAAGAAAATATAATCACAAGTGGGAGCGAAAAGAAACATGATGTGAATCGAGAGAGCTGTTTTGCATGAGGCAAAACTGCACTGTAGTTTGCATTCGAATCTATTTCAGCATTTGAAGATATGCAATTCTTCTCCTACAAGGGTATTATAATTGATTGTGTGATTTGTATAAATAAATGAGGCTTAAAAGAAAACCACATGACTTAAAGTTCTTTCACTAGTAAGAATATGTGTAATTTGTTCTCCAGTTGGAGACTTAGAATACTGCTGGAAAAACCTAAATTTGTTTAATGTTCTGCCTCTTTCCTCATTGGCTGCCTAATGTTTTTAATCTATTCAGTTCAGACCATTTCTGATTGATGGGCACCATCAGAATCTAGCTGCGGATACAGCTTCCCTGCAATCAATAGCAGTGGGACAAGTCTTCATGTTATATATAAGAATATTCACATAGTTCCTTTGCCATACTTTAGCAAGGCACATTTTCTTTTTCTTTATTAAGCAAAATCAATTCCATACACTTGTGTTTCAAAGTAAATGGCAAGACACTAATATAAGTACTGCAGAGAAAAAAGCAATACAAGATATGGCCTCTGATTAAAAAAAAAAGAAGTTGAGATTGACAAATTTTGAGCCCTTACCATCTGGGCTATGCCAAGTCTTTTAAATGTAAAGATGGATGTCCAACTCATTCTTGTAAATAAAAGGACTGGGACTTACAGAGATTGAATCATTTGCTAAAGGTCACTGAGAGAATGCATAGCACGTCTCTGGTTCCAAAAATTTTCCAGTGTTTTGTGCAACACATTACAGTCTCCCAAAACAGATCCTGTTGTCTCATGGAGAAATAAGACACAGAAGTGATATGTCACACAATTACAGTGCAAATGAGATATAGAAGGCCATTTCTTAGTAGTCATAAAGATACTAGTTACCGTGGTAACAATACTCTAGGAGCATAGTGATCCTGGAAATTATTTCAGGTGAAGATGTTTAAGAAGGCCTTTGGGGGAGTTAAGAGAATTAAACTACTTCTTAAAGAATGAGAGAATTTGAATGAGATGAGAATAATGAGCTCAGTATTGTGCCATAGGGGAACAGTATGAGCAAAAAACTCAACGGATGTTTAAAGCAATGTGCCCAAGTATTTCAGTAGGATGCAGGGCTTGATTTAAATGCCCTCTTCAATCTCAAAAATTTAACTAGTTAGAATATGGTAGACACTGGATAGGTACAGTGTAAGTCAGGCTCTCTTGCCTATTCAAAAATCTCTGCCTTAATGGCTACATGATTACTTGAAATTCTCATGAATATCAGCTTTCTTTCAATTTAATGTTTTAACTTCACATAGTCACTCTGGCATCTCTTGATGAAAGTCAACATTTTCTTGAAGTTCTTCATACATTAACCCTTGTGCTGTCACCAATATGCTTGTTTCCAGATTGTCATGGATGTAAGACCCCAAATAGTTATTTTAATTCTGAGGCTTGTGAAAGGGTCAATAAGCATGAGATATTGCCTATGGAAAATGAATCAGGAGTAGGTGGGCAGTGAAGGGAGAAAAGATGGAGAAGTCCCCTTAAATGATATATACTGATAACACACAAGGTGGTTTTAGTGAGGGCTGGCTGAATGGAAACATTTCACATACACTATAGCATGAAGGTCAACAAGTATGGTTATTGCTGATTCCTTGGAGTTCTCCAGATTCATCTCTAGTAGTTCCTACATTTGGAGAAAGACTATTACTTGGGAACAAATCTATTCTTCACAATATTAAAGATTAAACAGTATCTTCATGTTGTGTGATAGAAAATTGCTGAAATTATTTACTAAATGCCAAGACTTTCCATTGTGTGATATTTCAGACCATCACAAAGTACCCATGTAGTTTTATCTCGTGGGAATCTTAACTGTAGACATAATGGATAAATTGTTATGAGAAAGAATGAAATGAGATGCAGAAACAGCTAATAATATATTGTCAAAGTCATTGTTACCATAATAAAAGCACTCTGTTGCTTTTGCCCCCTAAACCTCTTTTTCTGCATTTGGTATGAGATATATATATATATATATTATGATAAATAACACTGTTTTCTCTTTGGCAGCAACGCATATTGAACATCTTTGCCTTTCACAATCACTTAATTTTTTTATACAAAATAGTTAGCAAATAGTACTTACTTCTGGAATCTATACTGTCCTCAAGTAATGTATCCGAGATTCTTGTAATATCTGAAATGATTAGGAATTATTAAGTACCTATCAGCATATAGCAGATGCTTGATAACTATTTGTTGAATAAATAAAATACCTGGATGATTAAAGAAGGACTAAGGGCACACATTTACATAATCCATATTATATGCTACTTTACATGGTTTACAAATTTTACATATTATTTAATATTTATAACAATCTTATTATTAAAGGTAAATTATTATTCCCCTATTACAGATTTTAAAAATTGAGTACTACATTGTTAGTAAATTACCAACCAAATATTTAAACCCAGGCACTCCGACACAAGTCATTTCTATTAACTATTCTGCTGTGAATGAATTAAGTTCAACAAATGAATAATTGGAACTACCTAGTTTCTTAAGATGTCTCCCACTCATTTTTTAATAAAATCGTTAGCTATAATCAATTTTATTGTTATATGTCACATTGTGATTCCTTAATGGAATTTTGATAAAATACACATTTATAATAATTGTTGAAATTTCTCATTGAGTCCTGATATGGTTTGGCTGTTTCCCCACCCAAATCTTATCCTGAGTTGTAATAATCCCCACGTTTCAAGGGCAGGACCAGGTGGAGATAATTGAATGAGTAGTGTGGTTTCCCCCACACTGTTCTCATGATAGTGAGTGAGTTCTCAAGAGATCTGATGGTTTTATAAGGGGCTTTCCCCTTCCTTTTGCTCTGCACTTCTCCTTCCTGTTGCCTTGTAAAGAAGGACATGATTGCTGCCATGATTGTAAGTTTTCTGAGGCCTCCCCAGCCCTGCAAAACTGTGAGCCAATTAAACCTCCTTCCTTTATAAATTACCCCGTCTCAAGTATTTCTTCATAGGAGTGTGGAATGGACTAATACAAGTATTATATCAGTTTATGAAAACAACACAGTGTATGGGATTTCCTCAGTTTTAGGGATCCTATGATATACTACCTAGACAATGCAAATTAAAGTCAGATTGCTGATGTCAATACTAGTAGCACCACAGGGAAGATAAAAACCAACAATTGGGAGATTACATCATTACAGATGTAATTTCCTCAACATCTTTAAGTGTACCTAACGAAAGATTGATAGCAAATTTAATGAGCAGCTGTTCTTATGCTGAATGCACATGATGCTATTATATAAAATGGAAACAACTGGAAATGTGTCAGAAATGCGCTTTACATCATTAGTCAAAAATGCCATTGATTGATCAGTATCATACTGTGTTTGGCCCCAGCAACTACTTCTGCATTGTTCAGGACAAATGACATGTAAAAGAAAGTTTCAGGTAAAATCCATGTTTAAGAAAAAAAAACATTTTTTCATAAAGAAAATGTCAGTGTCTTTTTGAAGCAATATGACGATGAACTGTCTCCTGTCACATAAAGGAAAGTAACTCTTTTGGCAAATTATGTTGTCTTATCTTTTGCCAGGTACTCATTTGGTAAACTGCTGCATATATTGTTTTTCTCTCATAGCTATAAATTATATCTGGTTTCTTCTAAATTGCAACTTATTTAATGGACAATTATTGAGAAATTATTTCTGCATGACTTGACTGGTGAAATGTAAGGGAGAAATGGAGGTCATTTAATGTTTTAGGGAATGTAGTCCCAGACTGAAAGGAGAACACAGCATAATGAATAGAAGTTTACTCTTAGTGTGTTCCACATATTCCCCTTTAGCTTTCCCTTTTCACATTGACTAGGTTAATTAATAAGACTCATTGATTAAATAATGGTAGAAAGGGCCATCACAGCAACCAGAAGCAGAAATCATACAAATTTGGTTGCAACAAGACCTCGCAAACTCACAGGTTCTTGTTTTTGACTTTGCTTAATTCTCTTCCCCACCTTTTGGGAATGAGTGAGGAGAGAGGCACTAATTGACCCAAAAGAGTGGGAATACTACCAGGGCAAAGTATGGCAAAATTCTTCTAAAGCATGAAGAAGATCAACCAACTAATTTGGAAAGGGAATTTAAGAGGTTTATCTTGTTATGGTCAGATAGGAAAATGACCTTGTTACTACTCTGAAGATTGGTCATTTCAATGACAAAACACAGAAAAAGGAGGATCTGAAGAAGTATTATTAAATGTTTCATATTAAAGGGAAAGCAGATAATTCAAAATTATAAACTCCTATTATTTTTAAACACAGAAGAAAAGTAATACCCCAGAATTTAAACTCAAAATCAGTAGTTCCCATTCCCTTCACAACCTTTTCAAGTTTTCATTTAATCATATCAGTTACTGGTTATCTGATAGTAATGGCTATAATTTTAAAAATATGCATATAGAACTCTTTCACAATATATGAGCTTTTCTATTATCTTTGCCTCTTGCAATGAAAGATGGGGGCGCAATAAATTTAACTTACTGCCACTTCCTCTATCGTTCCTCATACCCACTATATCAAAATTTTTAATTATTTTTAGTGTTTCGACAGATTATTTTGTAACTGTAAGTGATACATGTTCTCTATTTCTTACTGAATCTCCTTTAGACATTCTCTCTTATTTTCCTTACTAGGTATGAATATTAGCACTTTTCTACCACCCACTCCATTTTTCAATAGTTACAGCTCCCTACCCTTATCTTATCAGGGTTAGTCATTTGTCCTTTAAAAATAATTAGGCACTTAGTCTTTTGTCCACAGATGATTTCTGAAGGTTAAAAACCAATAAACATTTACATAAATCTGTGTATATAAATATTTCTCATTGCAAAACCCACAGGAAAGCTAAGAAGCATTTCCTTCTTCAATTTACTAGCCTCTATAAGGTCCAAGGTCAGGACAAGAGTGTTGCTCACAGTGGAGTGTTCCTAATACCAAGGACAAACAAAATTTTATTTTCTTATATTTCATTAATTGTTCCCAAGAATAACACATTTTCCCTTGCCTCATATGTAGACCTTGACTTTCTATTACTCATGTTTTGTTGTCGTTTTGTTTTGTGTGTTTGTTTTTCCTGACTTTTCTAATTTTCAACTATTTTATCTTGTAAGAAAAAGAAACATTTATGTATATATAATATATATATACATCACTAGTATATTCCAGCTTTTTATATAATTACTCGACTGTTCACTAGCCAATGTCTTTTAGATATGCATTTTAGAGCCACTGATGTTTAGTCTTATAACTACTTTCAATGCCTGTTCAGAATTGTCCTTTTAGGATTTCATTTTCTTGAGCTCTGCTTCTGAAATAGTACATGGAGGAGAGTTGTTTAAAATGCTATCATTTACGAAAATGCATTTATTTTCATTTATAATTGATGGACAGTTTGTCTCAGAGATGAATACCAGCTTGAATAGCACTTCTCTTAAAAATCTGAGGTTGTTTTATCTTTATCTTCCATGACCCACAGCTTTTGATAAATATATAGGTCTTAGCCTTGCTTCTTTGGTGCTAACCTGCTTTTTTTTTTTTTTTTTACAATCTTGAAGTTTTTAATAACTCTCCTTATTCCTATAACATTGACAATTCAGAAAGTAAACTTACATGTGGGGCTTTTAAAATTTCTTCTGCATGCCAATTTGTGAATATCTTTGATTTAAATTCTTGTATCATTTATTAAGCCTGGCAAATTTTCTTTTTTTCCTTTAGTGTCTTCCTTGCATTTTTTTCTTTCTCTTTTAATTTTTTTCCTAATTAATTGAAGTATAACAACATGGAGAATTATATAAATCAATAACTAGAGCATTCATGAATGTCTCAAAGTGAACAAGTCTCTGATATCTTGACTATCCAAGTCAAAATAAAAAAGATTACCAAAAAAAAAAAAGGATAATTCCCTTATGTTGATTCCCAATTCCTATACTTTTTCATCCTACACAATATAACCCTTAACCCAGTTTCTAAAACTATAGACTAGTTTTGCCTGTTTTGTTTTTTAACTTTTGTAAAAGGAGTCATGCAGTATTTATACTTACATGTCTGACTTCTTACACCCAACATTGGTTTTATGAGATTATTATTGAGTGCAGTCATAGTTCTTTTATTGATTCTTTCATTTATGTTATACTGATAGGTATTAGAATATCACATTGTCATATTAATTTGCATTTTACTATTATTAATGCTTGATACCTTTTCATGCTCATTGAATATTTGGATGTCCGCTTTTGGTAAGTCCTTGCTCTGCTTTTTCTATTCTGATATGTAGGATTTTCTTATATATTCTGGATATGGGCCATTTGTAAATTATATAAGTTGAAAATATTTTCTTCTCTGTAGCTTGTTTTTAATTCTTTTAATGCTTATAGTTCATAAACAGAATTCTTAATTTTAATATTACCCAACTTATTTTTATCTTCCTTTAATTTAGGGCTTTTGTGTCCCATTTACCTACCCCAAATTCATGAAGATATTTTAAAATATATTCTAAAAGTTTTAACTTTATGCCTTTCATATTTTGGATTTACAATCAACATGAAATTGATCTTTATGTATGATGTGAGATAAAGGTCAAGTTTTATTTATTTTCATGAGAGGATCCAATTCATCCAGAACCTTTTATTGAAAAGAATATCTTGCCACCAATATTATTTAATATAATTCTTTTTTTTTTTTTACCAAGTCTTGCTCCGTCGCCCAGGCTGGCGTGCAGTGGCACTATCTGGGCTCACTGCAAGCTCCGCCTCCCAGGTTAACGCCATTCTCCTGCCTCAGCCTCCCGAGTAGCTGGGACTACAGGCGCCCGCCACCACGCCTGGCTAATTTTTTGTATTTTTTAGTAGACACGGGGTTTCACCGTGCTAGCCAGGATGGTCTCTATCTCCTGACCTTGTGATCCACCCGCCTCGGCCTCCCAAAGAGCTGGGATTACAAGTGTGAGCCACCGTGCCTGGCCTATTTAATATAATTCTTACTATAAGTCAAGTGTTCACATATGTGTGGGTCTATTTTGTTCTATTAATCTCTTTAGTATCCTTTGTGCTAATTTTATTTTGTATTAATTCAAGTACTTGTAATTCAAGGACTGTGACACCTTAGAAAAAGAATGCAGAGGGGTGAACCCTACAACTGCCTCAGCTTATTACTTAGAGGCAATTGCTCTATTGAGAGGTGCGGGGAGACAGTACCCTGCCAGAGTCATGCGATGTAGCTTAGTGGAGGGAGGGCAAGATAGCTAGAGTCTGTAGGGCAGAATACTAGAGAGAAAGTGGTGGTAGAGAGAGAGAATCTAGAGACTTGTAGAGGGAACCCCTGGAAGTCTTGGTTAAATACTTATCTGTATGTGCATAAGAAGAAATTACCTAGGACTAGAGAAAGCATGATGCAAACAGTTTGTGTCCTATGAGCCAGAGCAGAAAGATCTTACAAACACAGAATATTGGATAGAATCCTAAAAAGGGATATAATCTCAGTAGAGCTAAATTAGCCATATACTAAAGAATTCCATAACACCCACATAACTGAGAATTAAGTTAGAATGCAAAAAGACCAATCTAATTTCAGGTAACTTAATTGAGCAAAATCCAACACCAAGCAATATAAAATTCAGAGTATACAATAGCCAAACAAAATTTACCAGGCATGCAAAGAGTAGGAAAAATATGGCCCATAACTATAGACAAAAAAATAAATCAGTGTAAACAAAGCCAGACATGATGGAATTAGTAGCTGTTGTAAAAATACACCATATGTTCAAGAAGATAGAGGAAATCGTTAACAGGGTTAGAAAGAAAAAGATATACATTTTATTTTTAGTAGCTTATTGGTGATATATAAAAACAAAATTAAATTTTATGTATTGATGTTGAATGAAGATATGCAGGTCAGATAACCCTTCAAGAACGGCCTTGCTTTCCAGCTGCAAAAATTGATTGGCTGATATTTTCTATTTTAGTTCTCTCTAGATATGCCTCAGTATTTGGTCTGAGGTCATACTCTTCAGAATGACCCCTGGATAATGACTAAGCAAGAAGATAGTAACGGAAGTCTTTCTTCTTCATATGCCCCTAAACAATAGCTAATGCAATATTTTCCTTAAAGGGGAGGGTTCCTTTTGTGGAGAAGATGGAGGAAAATGGCCCATCTTGGTTCAAATGCAAATTGAAACAAATATGATTTGGCTCCATATATCAGAGTAAACTGGAACAAAATGTAGCTGTCATACAGGCCCACTCAGGGACAGCCTTGAAAAATAGCACAAATGGAAAATCTTCCCAATGGGCAGAACTTTTCAGCAGAACTTTTTTACCTGATCTCTCATTTTGTGTGGAAATTGAAGCTACCTAAGGTGAGAATTTACACAAACTAATAGGGAGAAACCAAAGGCTTTGTCAGGGCCCTGGAAGATTAGAAGATTGGAGATGTAGGCTTGGGTAGAAGAGTCTGGATGGACCTATGGGAGGTAGAACGTAATGTGAAGATCACTGTACTTCATGCTAATGCCTACCAGATGGCAATTATTCTGAAAGAGGCACTGAATAACAAGTAGACACATTGACTTGGCCCACTGTTATCAGACAGTCTCTGTCTCTGGGCGACCCAGTTGTGAATGGAAGCATCAAGGTGGCTCCCACTCATCGAGTTTGATCTGTCTACTGCTTCTACTAAACATCCAACCTGCCAGGAGGAGGGACAGGCACTGAGCCCTTATTACAGCATCATCCTTTGAATAAGTCAGTGGGCCACATGGTGGCAAATCAACACAGTGGACTTCTTTTGACCAAGAGTTACTTTTGATTATAAACATTTCTATCATTTTTACATTTTGCTTTTCTCACCTACAAACCCTCAATAAGTGTCACTATTAAAGGGCTTATAGATTGATTCATAGCCAATGCATCACATATAATATCGAATCATGACAAGAACAGAAGCATAAATTGCCCCATGACCAAGGCATTCACTGGTCCTATCCTAAACCACACCCATCAGAAGCTGCTGGCCTGTGGGAATGATGGAGCCATTGATGGCACAGCTGGGGTGCCACCTTGGAGATAATTCCCTTTGAAGAGATTCACTTTCTGCCAGGAAACAGTACAATTCCCATATCTGCAATTATCATATGGAGTTGTACCCAGTAGATAGACTACATAGGTCTAGGAACTCAGGAGTCAAAATAGGGAATTCTTCATCTACCATCACTCCTAGTAACCTTCCTGGAGAATATGTTTCTTTTTCCCACAACTCTGTACTCTGAAGTGTTAGAGATCCTGATCTCTCAAAGGGAAGCACCTCAGCAATTCCCTTAAACTTTATCCTGCACTCAGCTACTCTAAGCTGTCTTGTCTAAGATCAGGGTCCTTCCCAGGCAGCCCACGCCAATGACTGGTTGATATTTATAAAAGCCCATCCTCTAGCCCTAAAACGAGACAAATCTGAAGGTCCATGACAGCTTCAGACTTTTGTCTGGGGCCAGCTGAAGCCTCTACTGCATTTGTATTGCAACTCGAGTTTCTCTGTGTGCCCAAACTTGCTTTCTTTTCTTCCCCTCTCAGGTATCAATGCTAAGCACATTCTCTAATAAACTTCCAGCATGCCTAATCTTGGTCGGTCTACTTCCTGGAAAATTCAGACCATAACTGCTCATCACTACAGTCAATTTCATCCCTCACCTGGTCCGGCGGCTGACATGTGTAATCCCAGCACTTCGGGAGGCTGAGGCAGGAGGGTTGCTTGAGTCCAGGAGTTTGAAACCAGCCTGGGCAACAAAGTGAGGGCCCATCACTACAAAAAAGATTAAAATGAAATAAAAAATTAGCTGGGTGTGGTGGCACACTCCTGTAGTCCCAGTTACTTGGGAGGCTGAGGCAGGAAGATCATTTAAGCCTAAATGGTAGAGGCTACAGTCAGCCATGATAATACCACTGAACTCCAGCCTGGGAGAGGATGAGACCCTGTCTCAAAAAAAAACTAACAAAACACTTCATCTTTCAAATACTTCCAGACACTTTCTGTTCCAGAAATTTTACAAGGTCTCTTGCCACTAGAAATTGCCTCCTTTTTTATTTCATGATGTGTTTATTTCCTTTTATGCTCTTTTATAATTTTATTTTAATAATTTTGGAAGAAGAGAGGCATGCATAATTCTTGACCCAGATCTTTCAGTTTATAATATTAAGCTTAGTACATACATCATACTTTTAGAGTCTAAAATGCTCAATAACAATTTTATGTGAATTTAAATTTGTGATCAAAATTGTAGCCAAATAATATTGTCAAATCTTTGTAAGGATGCAATTCTGCAATATGAAATTACCAATGGCTTTTGCAAATGACAAGACTTTTGAGGATATATGATAGCAATAACAGAAATGCTGTTGTTTATAATTGTGTTTGAAGTAACACAATTACATTATCATAAATGGACAATACAAGCAATGTATAACAAAAAGCTTTATGGCACATTGTGTTTGAATTTTTCTGACAAAATATTTTTGAAACTAAAAATACTAAATTTGTGAATCTCCTCAATGTACTATACTGATACAAGGAAATAATATTTATACTTAATTTTGATAATTTTACAATATTTTATAAGTATTCTAGATACAGAATAGAAACTAAAATTCCCATATTTCTCTATACATATATATATCTTGAAATGTATTTCTACAAACTTGAAAATAAATAAAATTTGATTTACATATAGACAGGTCAGTAGCTCAGAAACTCTCTCCAGAATAGTAAATTACCCTGAAACAATTCCTTTGGCATATATCTGTTTCCTAAGCAATGAGATCAGCTTCACTACACCATATCTTCTATGCTTTCAAAGACCCAGAACTCTTAAATTTTTAATAAAGCTCCCCTGTAGGTTCAAAATGCAAGAGATAATGATGATGCTGAAACAATCAGCAATGTATGTGAGATGGAAATTTATTAACGCTCTCAAAAATGTTTTGTAAAGAACACTGGATCTACATATGATCATTTTAAAAACTATAATGATACATGCAATGTGAAAAATTTTGAAAATCGAAGAAAAATACACATTTACAAGAACCAAGCCTTTGAAAATGTATGCTTGGGAACAAAATGGTAATTGTTTTCTTTTGCAAGTAAAACATTTAAGGCAGGATCAGTAGTGAAGCTTTCTTAGGTATATATTTTTGTTTCCTGATCTCACAGGGTTCATTTGTACAGATGTGTTAATCTAATCTGTCTTTCTACACTGTGAGTAATTCACAAGAGTTATGCCTCTGTCTTGCTTATAGCAAAGGTTTCTTTTAAAATTTCTGTTAATCACACAATTTCTGAATTAGTAAATTCTCCCTGTACAAGTTAGAAGCTACACAATGACTCCAACTACCCCCACTTCTTAATGTAATCTAGAGTTAGAACTGCTGCATAGCACATGTTCAATAAATTCATATGGCTTATGTAAGTCAAGATCTGTTTAAGTTTCTCTTGACCTGTAAAATAGTCAATGTAAAAGCATTTACTTTGCTGCTCATTTATTTTGACTGCATGTACTTTGCTGCTCAAATAAAATATGTGTGGTTATATGGTTTGGCTCTGTAGCCCCATCCAAATCTCTTCTTGAATTGTAGCTCCCATAATTCCCTTGTATTGTGGGAGGGTCCCAGTGGGAGCTAATTTGAATCATGAGGGCAGTATCCCCCATACATCCCCCAATTCATTACCATTCTTATGGTAGTAAATAAGTCTCACAAGATCTGATGGTTTTATCAGGGGTTTCTGCTTTTGCATCTTCCTCATTTTCTCTTGCTGCTGCCATGTTAGAAGTGCCTTTCACCTCCCGCCATAATTCTGAGGCCTCCCGGGCCATGTGGAAATGTAAGTCCAATTAAACCTCTCTTTCTTCCCAGTCTCGGGTATGTCTTTATGAGCAGCAAGAAAACAAACTAATACATTAAATTGGTACCAGTAGAGTGGGGCATTGCTGAAAAGATAACCGAAAATGTGAAAGTAACTTTGGAACTGGGTAACAGGCAGTGGTTGGAACAGTTTGGAGGGCTCAAAAGAACACAGGAAAATGTGCGAAAGTTTGGAACTTATTAGAGACTTGTTGTGTGGCTTTGCCCAAAATGCTGATAGTGGTATGGACAATAAGGTCCAGGCTGAGGTGGTCTCAGATAGAAATGAGGAAATAGTTGGGAACTGGAGCAAAGGTGAGCCTCGTTATGTTTCAGCAAGGAAACTGGTGGCATTTTGCCCCTGCCCTAGAGATTTGTAGAACTTTGAACTTGAGAGAAATGATTTATGGTACCTGGAGGAAGAAATTTCTAAGCAGCAAAGCATTCAAGGGGTGACTTTTGGTGCTGTTAAAGGCATTCAGTTTTATGAGGGAAGAAGAGCATATAAGTTTGGAAAATTTGCAGCCTGACTGTGATAGAAAAGAAAAACGCAGGGCCGGGCGTGGTGGCTCACGCCTGTAATCCCAGCACTTTGGGAGGCCGAGGCCGGTGGATCACAAGGTCAGGAGATCGAGACCATCCTGGCTAACATGGTGAAACCCTGTCTCTACTAAAAATACAAAAAATTAGCCAGGCATGGTGGCGGGCGCCTGTAGTCCCAGCTACTCTGGAGGCTGAGGCAGTAGAATGGCGTGAACCTGGGAGGCGGAGCTTGCAGTGAGTCGAGATCGCGCCACTGCACTCCAGCCTGGGTGACAGAGCGAGACTCAGTCTCAAAAAAAAAAGAAAAGAAAAGAAAAGAAAAACCCGTTCTCTGAGGAGAAATTCAAGCCTGCTGCAGAAATTGGCATAAGTAACAAAGAGCCAAATGTTAGTCCCCCAGACAATGGGGAAAATGTCTCCAGGGCGTGTCAGAGGTCTTCAAGGCAGCCCTTCCCATCATCATAAGCCCCGAGACCTAGGAGAAAATGGTTTCATGGACTGGGCCTAGGGTCCACGTACTGTGTGTAGCATAGGGACTTGGTGCTCTGGGTCCCAGCCGCTCCAGCTGTGGCTGAAACGGACCAACCTAGAGGTCGGGCTGTGGCTTCAGAGGGTGTAAGCCCCAAGCTTTGGCAGATTCGACATGGTGTTGAGCCTGCTGGTGCACAGAAGTCAAGAATTGGGGTTTAGGAACCACTGCGTAGATTTCAGAACATGTATGGAAATGCCTGGATGCCCAGGCAGAAGTTTGCTGCAGGAGTAGGGAGCTCATGGATAACCTTTGCTAGGGCAGTGCTGAAGGGAAATGTGGGGTTGGAGGCCCCACACAGAAACCCTACTGGGGCCCTGCCTAGTGGAGCTGTGAGAAGAGCGCCACCCTCCTCCAGACCCCAGAATGGTAGATCCACAGAGAGCTTGCACTGTTCACCTGGAAAAGCCACAGACACTCAATGCCAGCTTGCGAAAGAAGCCAGAAGGGAGGCTGTACCCTGCAAAGCCACAGGGTGGAGCTGCCCAAGACCATGGGAAACAACCTCTTGCATCAGTGTGACCTGCATATGAGACCTGGAGTCAAAGGAGATAATTTTGGAGATTTAAAATTTTGGACTTGCATGGGCCCTGTAACCACTTTGTTTTGCCAGTTTCTGCCATTTGGAATGGCTGTATTTATCCAATACCTGTGCCCCCATTGTATCTAGAAAGAAATTAGTTTGCTTTTGATTTTACAGGCTCATAGGTGGAAGGGAATTGCCTTGTCTCAGATGAGACTTTACACTATGGACTTTTGGGTTAATGCTAAAATGAGGTGAGACTTTGGGGGACTGTTGGGAAGGCATGATTGGTTTTGAAATATGAGGACATGAGATTTGGAGGGGCGGGGGTGGGATGATATGGTTTCACTCTGTGTCCCCACTCAAATCTCATCTTAAACTGTAGTTCCTATAATTTCCACATGTTGTGGGAGGGACCTGGTGTGAGATAATTTGAATCATGGGAGCAGTTCCCACATGCTGTTCTTGTGGTGGTGAGTAAGTCTCACAAGATCTGATGATTTTATCAGGGGTTTCAGCTTTTGCGTCTTCCTCATTTTCTCTTGCCACCGCCTTGTAAGAAGTGCCTTTTGCCTCCTGCCATGATTCTGGGCCTTCCCCAGCCATGTGGAACTGTAAGTCCAATTAAACCTCTTTTGCTTCCCAGTCTCAGGTATGTCTTTATCAGCAGTGTGAAAGCGGACTAATACATGTTGAATGAATATAAAATGATCAAGTAATAGTGCAGTGTTTGCAGATGTATGTTTTTGAGCTCCTCCAAATATATTCCCAGTTGAAAAACTGAAGTGTTCAAGACTATGCTTTACCCTATGTATATTATCTTATGTTCTGTCTGTAACAAAATATCAAAACTGTCATATTAAAACTAAGCCCTTTGCCTATTATTTATAACTTAATCATAAATGATAGGTTTGGAATATACAGGTAGATTGAGTGAACAGATGTATTCCAAACTCAGGCTCTGATTACAATGCCTAAAAATTTATTACAGTATAATGATCATAAATATTATGCCTATTTTATCTAAAACAAGGTTTTAATTGGTAACAAATTTTATTTTACTGATAAATACATTATTTTATCAATGAAATTAAATCTCAAGAATATTTGACTAATGTGTACTCCAATGCAAGTTTTCTTATTTAATATGAGTAATTTTTAAGTTACAAAATTACATGTGTAAGAACAAGGAATGTTATAACCAAAAAGGAACCTCCAAAGATGTGTTACACCTGCTTTACTTTATTCTGAACACCAAAGTCTTGAAGCAAATATTTACGATTGACCAAGCAACCCAGGAATGTATAAATATATATAACTCTTGTTATTTAACTTGATACTTAACAAAAATGCAGATGGTCCTTGACTTAATTTTTCAACTTCACAATGGTTCAAAAACAGTATGCATTCTTCAAAAACTGTACTTCAAATACCCATACAACCACTCTGTTTTTCACTTTCAGTACATTATTCTATAAATTACATGAGATATTAACAGTTTATTATAAAATAGACTGTCTTAGATGATTTTGCTCAACCGTAGGCTAATATATTAATAAGTACTCTGAACACATTTAACATAGGCTAGGCTAAGCTATGATGTTCTATAGCTTAGGGGTATTAAGTGAATTTTTGATTTACAGTATTTTGATATTCTTGTGGGCTTATTGGGAAGTAGCCCAGTTGCAAGTAAAGAAGAATCTTTAAAATAACATAAGGGCCTAATTTTATTCTTCTGCGTGTGGATATCTAGTTTTCCTAAAACCATTTTTTTGAAGAAACAGTCCTTTCCCATTGTGTGTTCTTGGCACCTTTGTCAAAAATCAACTGGGCATAAATGTGTGAATCTATTTCTGGGTTCCCCATTCTGTTCGACTGGTCTATGTGTCTGTTTTATCCCAGTACCATGCTTTTTAAAAATCAATTTATTAAAATATTTTTAATTTGCCCATTTCAATTTCTTTTTTTTTTTTTTTAAATTATACTTTAAGTTCTGGGATACATGTGCAGAACATGCAGGTTTGTTACATAGGTATACAAGTGCCATGGTAGTTTGCTGCACCCATCAACCCATCATCTACATTAGGTATTTCTCCTAATGCTATCCCTCACCTTGCCCCCAACCCCCAACAGGCCCAGTGTGTGATATTCTCCTCCCTGTGTACATGTGTTATCATTGTTCAACTCCCACTTATGAGTGAGAAAAATGTGGTGTTTGGTTTTCAGTTCCTGTGTTAGTTTGCTGAGAATGATGGTTTCCAGCTACATCCATGTCCCTGCAAAGGACATGAACTCATCCTTTTTTATGGCTGCATAGTATTCCATGGTATATATGTGCCACATTTTCTTTATCTAGTCTATCATTGATGGGCATTTGGGTTGGTTCCAAGTCTTTACTATTGTGAACAGTGCTGCAGTAAGCATAGATGTGCATGTGTCTTGATAGTAGAATGATTTATAATCCTTTGGGTATATACCTGGTAATGGGATTGCTGGGTCAAATGGTATTTCTAGTTCTAGATCATTGAGGAATCTCTACACTGTCTTCCACAAAGGTAGAACTAATTTACACTCCCACAAACAGTGTAAAAGCGTGCGTATTTCTCCACATCCTCTCCAGCATCTGTTGTTTCCTGACGTTTTAATGATCTCCATTTTAACTGGCATGAGATAGTTTCCAATTGTGGTTTTGATTTGCATTTCTCTAATGACCAGTGATGATGAGCTTTTTTTCATATGTTTGTGGCTGCATAAATGTCTTCTATTGAGAAGTGCTTGTTCATATACTTTGCCCACTTTTTGATGGTTTTTTTTTTTTTTTTGTAAATTTGTTTAAGTTCTTTTGTAGATTCTGGATATTAGCCCTTTGTCAGATGGATAGATTGCAAAAATTTTCTCCCATTCTGTAGGTTGCCTGGTCACTCTGATGATAGTTTCTTTTGCTGTGCACAAGCTCTTTAGTTTAATTAGATCCCATTTGTCATTTTTGGCTTTTGTTGCCATTGCTTTTGGTGTTTTAGTCATGAAGTCTTTGTCCATGCCTATGACCTGAATGGTATTGCCTAGGTTTTTGTCTAGGGTTTCTATAGTTTTCGATCTTATGTTTAAATCTCTAATCCATCTTGAGTTAATTTTTGTATAAAGTGGAAGGAAGGGATCCAGTTTTAGTTTTCTGCATATGGTTAGCCAGTTTTCCGAACACCATTTATTAAATAGGGAATCCTTTCCCAATTACTTGTTTTTGTCAGGTTTGTCAGACATCAGATGGTTGTAGATGTATGGCATCATTTCTGAGGCTTCTGTTCTGATTCATTGGTCTATATATCTGTTTTAGTACCAGTACCATGCTGTTTTGGTTACTGTAGCCTTGAAGTATAGTTTGAAATCAGGTAGTGTGATTGATGCCTCCAGATTTGTTCTTTTTCTTAGGATTCTCTTGGCTATATAGGCTTTTTTTTGGTTCCATATGAAATTTAAAGTAGTTTTCTCTACCTCTGTGAAGAAAGTCAATGGTAGTTTGATGGGAATAGCATTGAATCTATAAATTACTTTGGGCAGTATGGCCATTTTCACGATATTGATTCTTCCTATCTATGTGCATGGAATGTTTTTCCATTTGTTTGTGTCCTCTCTTATTTTTTTTAGCAGTGGCTTGTAGTTCTTGAAGAGGTCCTTCACATCCCTTGTAAGTTCTTTGTAGCAATTGTGAATGGGAGTTCACTGATAATTTTGCTCTTTGCTTGTCTATTATTGATGTATAGGAATGCTTGTGATTTTTGCACATTGATTTTGTATCCTGACACTTTGCTGAAGTTTCTTATCAGTTTAACGAGATTTTGGGCTGAGACAATGAGCTTTTTAAATATACAATCATGTTATCTGGAAACAGACAATTTGGCTTCCTCTCTTCCTATGTGAATACCCTTTATTTCTTTCTCTTGCCTGATTGCCCTGGCCAGAACTTCCAATACTATGTTGAATAGGAGTGGTGAGAGATTGAAGCAGTAATTAATAGCCTACCAACCAAAAAAGGCCCAGGATCAGCTGGATGCACAGCCACATTCCACCAGAGGTACAAAGAGGAGCTGGTGCCATTCCCTCTAAAACTATTTCAAACAATAGAAAAAGAGGGATTTCTCCCTAATTCATTTTATGAGGCCAGCATCATCCTGATACCAAAACCTAGCAGATTCACAACAAAAAAAGAAAATTTCAGGCCAATATCCCTGATGAACATCGATGAGAAAATCCTCAGTAAAATACTGGCAAACTGAATCCAGCAGCACATCAAAAAACTTACCCACGATGATCAAGTTGGCTTCATCCTGGGATGCAAGGCTTGTTCAACATACACAAATCAATAAACATAATCCATCATATAAACAGAACCAATGACAAAAACCACATAATTATCTCAATAGATCCAGAAAAGGCCTTTGATAAAATTCAACACCCCTTATGACAAACCCACAGGCAATATCATACTGAATGGGCAAAAGCTGGAAGAATTCTCTTTGAAAACCAGCACAAGACAAGGTTGCCCTCTCTAACCACTTCTTTTCAACATTGTATTGGAAGTTCTGGCCAGGGCAATTAGGCAAGAGAAAGAAATAAAGGGCATTCGAATAGGAAGAGAGGAAGTCAAATTGTCTCTGTTTGCAGATGACATGATTGTATATCTAGAAAAGCCGATTGTCTCAGCCCAAAATCTCCTTAAGCTGATAAGCAACTTCAGTAAACTCTCAGGATACAAAGTCAATGTGTAAAAATCACAAGCATTCCTATACACCAATAATAGACAAACAGAGAGCCAAATCATGAGTGAACTCCTATTCACAATTGCTAGAAGGAAAATAAAATACCTAGGAACACAGTTACAAGGGATGTGAAGGACCTCTTCAAGGAGAACTACAAACCACTGCTTAAGGAAATAAGAGCGGACACAAACAAATGGAAAAACATTCCATGTTCATGGATAGGAAGATTCAATATCGTGAAAATGGCCATACTGCCCAAAGTAATTTATAGATTCAATGCTATTCCTGTCAAGCTACCATTGGCTTTCTTCAGAGTTAGAAAAAACTACTTTAAATTTCATATGGAACCAAAAAAGAGCCCATATAGCTAAGACAACCCTAAGAAAAAGAACAAAGCTGGAGGCTTCAATCATGCTACCTGATTTCAAACTATACTGCAAGGCTACAGTAACCAAAACAGCATGGTACTGGTACAAAAACAGATATATAGACCAATGGAACAGAACAGAGGCCTCAGAAATAACACCACACATCTAGAACTATCTGATGTTTGACAAACCTGACAAAAACAGGCAATGGGGAAGGATTCCCTATTTAATAAATGGTGTTGGGAAAACTGGCTAGCCATATGCAGCAAACTGAAACTAGACCCCTTCCTTACACCTTGTACAAAAATTAACTCGAGATGAATTAAAGACTTAAACGTAAGACCTAAAACCATAAGAACCAGGGAAGAAAACCTAGGCAATACCATTCAGGACATTGACATGGGCAAAGACTTCATGACTAAAACACCGAAAGCAATGTCAACAAAAGCCAAAATTGACAAATGGAATCTAATTTAACTAAAGAGCTTCTGTACCATGCTTTTTTGATTGCTATATAGTTGTATGAGGTTTTGAGGTCAGGTAGTATGATGCCTTCAGCTCTGTTATTTTTGATTATCATTGCTTTGGCTATGCAAGATCTTTGGTGGCTCCATAAAAATTTTAGTATATTTTTTTCTGAGAAAAAAATGTCATTGAAATTTTGGTAGGAAATGCACGGAATCTACAGATAGCATTGGGTAGTATGGACATTTTAACAATGTAAGTTCTCCCAATGTGTGAACATGGTGTATCTTTTTACTTATTTGTGTCTTCTCCAATTTCTTTCATCAATATTTTGTAGTTTTCAGTGTACTGATCTTTCACCTCCTTGGTTAAATTTATTTCTAAGTGTTTTTTGGTGGCTATTATAAATAAAATTGATTTTAAATTTCAGATCAATAGGAGGAATAAGTTCATGAGATCTGTTGTGCAGCATGGTGACTATAGATAATAACAGTGTGTTATATACTTGAGAACCTCAAAGAGAATAAATTTTAAATGCTCTTATAGCCAAAAATCATAAGGGCATAAGGTGATAGATATGTAAACTAGCTCAATTTAGCCATTTCACAATGTACGCATATTTCAAAACATTATGGTGTACAGCATAAGTATTTTATTTGTCAAATAATTAAAATGATTTTTAAAACTAAATGTTTAAATTCTAGTTTTAAAATTTGAAAAATTTGATTTTTTAAAAATATGGAAACCTACATGTTTTAAGGGAAAGTGTCTTTAGTAAGCCAGTGAAGTTGAGTACAATGTGTCTTAAAGCATTTCATTCTTGAGCCATGTCTCTGGCAAGTTGCTCTCGCCAAACAACTAATAATAACTGTACTAGCTTACTTAGGCTCCCATAACAAACTTTCACAAATTGAGTGACTTAAACAATAGATAATTATTTTTTTCACTTCTGGAGGCTAGAAGCCTTAGATCCAGTTGTTGGCAGGTTTTATTTCATCTAAAGCCTCTCCTTGTTTTGCAGATTGTGCCTTCTCACTGTGTCTTCACATGACCTTTTCTATGTGTATCCACATATCTGCATCCTAAAAACTGTTCTTTACCCTCTTCACTGGAACCCACATTGCTCTTGTCTCACTCCTGTGGTCTGTCCTGGAATGATCACTTCTGTTTTCCCACATTCTCTAAATTGTTTGGAGAGACTTCATCTTTTTTGCTAGATGCAGGGATGGTGAGGTAGCCCATTCTTTCTCTAGATTGTGCAGTGTGGTTTTGCTACCTCCCTGCCTTCCTTCCTTTTTCTTTCCTTTTTTTTTTTTTTTTTTTTTCTTTTGAGATGGAATCTTGCTTGGTTGCCCAGGCTGGAGTGAAATGGTGTGATCTCGGCTCACTGCAGCTGCCTCCCAGGTTCAAGTGATTCTCCTGTCTCAACCTCCCCAGTAGCTGGGATTACAGGCACTTGCCACCAAGCCCAGCTAATTTTTTTTATATTTTTAGAAGAGATGGTGTTTCACCATGTTCACCAGGCTGGTCTTGAGCTGCTGACCTCAAGTGATCCGCCTGCTTCAGCCTCCCAAAGTGCTGGGGTTACAGGTGTGAGCCACCATTTTCTTCATCAGCATCAGTGTTTTCTGCAGACTGAATTGATGGGAGCAATTTTAAAGTTCATTCCTGTTTTAGCTTCATTTAAACTAGATCTGGAAACTGGAATCTGCTCTCCCATATAATTGGAGCAAAGCCATCTTCTACCACACCTGTAGCCTCAGTAACTACTTAGCACAGTGACTGTATGTTAGATGCAATGCGTGATTATGCAAGCCCACAGAGTTAGTATGTGAATAGAGTATAACGTGAAATTCCAACCTGAAAAATAAATCACTTGTTATAATTTCTAGAGCTAAATACTTAAATAATATTTTCTTCAAAGTGTTTTTCTTTTCTTTAACAAAGTAATCATATTTCTATGTGTCAGGAGGGTGTGAAGGCATTTCTTTTGAAATGCTGTTATATCAAATTGAATTTCAGTTATCAAGGGGCTATCTAGCCACAAAGTTTATCATGCAAATTACTAGTGTTTACTACCTTAAAATATGGGACTAATCTTGTGCCTAGTAATTCTAGGTTATAAAAGAAGGATAATAAAAGTAAATAAAAATGCATTTTTCAATGTTTGGTTTATATTATCATTTACAGTTGTTAATCATTTTATAATGTTAAAAGGCAAAATTACATCAATTCCAGTTTTGCAGATCTTACTGGCTTTAATTTGTGATTCTAGAATCGAGCAGCAGTCTGGACCAAAAATGATTCAGAATGCTCCACCCCACCACATGTGCAGGCTATATTTATAGCCAGAGAAAATAGAGCAATGTACAGAAAATGGAAGTGAGGTACAGAGACAGCTTGATTGGTTAAACCTGGGCTTTTGCCTTAATTGAACCTGTTTTGAACAGTTGGCCTCCTGCTATGGACAGAAGCTCGACTTCTGTGATTGGCTGAGACAGCTATTTGTGACATAGGCAAACTTCTAAGTTAGGTTTTTGGTTTTAAGCTAGATTGCAATTCCTCAGGCCACATTTAATTTGATTTAAAAATAATGAAATGTAATGAAAAAATAGGTGACAATTTCATATATTTCAACAAATATTCTCTGTGATATGGGAATCTGTAAGTTATTCTATCATAAATTTAGTACAACACTACCATTCTAAAATATTATTATGATGAGTTAGTAACCTGGATCTTCATAACTCCATGAATCTCAAAAGTCAGAAAAGATTAACCCCTTATCTTTTTCTTTTTCTTTTTTTCTTTTCTTTTCTTTTTTTTTTTTTTTTTCAAGACAGAGTCTCCCTTTGTCACCCAGACTGGAGAGCAGTGGTCCGATCTCAGCTCACTGCAACCTCCACCTCCCATGTTTAATCAATTCTCCGGCCTCAGCCTCCAGAGTAGCCGGGATTACAGACACATGCCACCAGACCCAGCTAAATTTTGTATTTTTAGTAGAGATGGGGTTTTGCCATGCTGGCCAGGCTGGTTTCAAACTTCTGACCTCAAGTGATCCACCCGCCTCAGCTTCCCAAAGTGCTGGGATTACAGGTATGAGCCACTGCGCCCGTCTGTCCCCTTATCTTTATGTTACTTTTAAACATATCTGATAGTCATCAGGAATAGTGGGGTTCCTTCTCATATGTTTTGGTGTCTCACCTCCTACAAAGTGAGTTCAGGGTTGTTGAAGTTCTCTGAAGAAAATAGCAAGTTAGCGTGTGATAGTTAATTTTATATGCCGACTTGACTGGGCCATCGTGCCTAGATATGTGGTCAAACATTGTTCTGGATGTTCCTATGAGGATGTTTTTCTGCTTTTTTTGTTTGTTTGTTTTCTGAGACGGAGTCTCGCTCTGCTCACCAGGCAGGAGTGCAATGGTGCAATCTCGGCTCACTGCAACCTCCACCTCCCAGGTCCAACCGATTCTCCTGCCTCAGCCTCCCAAGTAGTTGGGATTACAGGCGTCTGCCACCACACCTGGCTAATTTTTGTATTTTTAGTAGAGATGGGGTTTCACCACGTTGGTGAGGCTGGTCTTGAACTCCTGACCTCGGAGGATCCACCTGCCTCAGCCTTCCAAAGTGCTGGGATTACATACGTGAGCCACTGCGCCTAGCCATGAGGATGTTTTTAGGTGAGATTAACATTTAAATCTGTGGACTTTAATTAAGCATATTGTCCTCTATAATATAGATGGGTCTCATCCAATCAGTTTGAATAGAGCAAAAGACTGACCTCCCCTCAGCAAGAGGGAAAATTCTGCCCATATTTACCGTACCTTGTTGCTGATATGTAGCCATAAAAAACTAATACTTGACCATCAGTTAGAAGCCCATCACTGAGCCTGAGTTATTACCTAATTTTTTAAACATACCTGGCAAAACCTGAACTTACCGTGAACTGGAAAATATCTAATCTTTGCTATTCCTAAATTCTAAAAGTTTGTGAAAGATTAGAAATACTCATGAAAATAATGAGAATTCTCTTTTACAATGAAACGGTTTCTATTGTGTAATCTGATGTGCACCTTTTCCAAATGAGAAATTGAAATCTCTGAGATGAAAAGTGACTTGCTGTGGTCATAATGTGCATAAAAAATAAATGCCAAGAGAGATTGAAAGGCATATTTAAAAGTAAAACTCTTTATATTAGTCACTACTTGTCAAAGTCACATTGAATTGTAGCTAGAATATTAAAAAGAAACAATTAGGAATGTTCAGCAGCTAATTGAAACAAAACAACATATAGAATGAAATATTCAAATGCAGTCATAAAGGAGAATTTAAACTTTAAAAAGCAAATTAGTTTTAAATAGATGTGGGTCATGATCCTGCCAAAACAGAAAATAGTGATAAAATGTTTGCAGAGCAAGGCATATTACAAAGAATAAAGAATAAACATGTTAAAAACATTCTTTTTCACTTAAACTACATTTCAACTATTTTAAAAAGTAATTGTTCTGACTTATAAAATACTTTTGATTCCAATTCACTATAATTATAAAACAATTTTCTCATATGAACTACATCTTTCAAGTTATGAAATTATTTTAAACTTTCAAAAACACTCATGTACTTAGTTTCTGGACAAGTCATGAACTCAATTAGGAATTTGTAAAGATTTACTAAAGACCATTAAATAGGAGCTCTCTAGATCATTGCAAATAATCACCAGACTGCAGCTGTTTTTCAGCATATGTAATGAAATAAATACCCATGAAGTCTGGAGTTGAGTATTCTAGTTTGTAACAACCAACACAATAGTCAATACAAAGCTATGTAAGGAAAAAATAATATCTGTCTGCCCTTTAAAGTTTCTCCCCTATAATACCTCACTCCCAAACTCTATATTAAAGAGAGCGTAAAGGTAAATAAGCATAGATACACCTCTTTGGGTTCCTTCGAGTATCTCCTAACATTGCTTCTAAATTTATGTCTGGTGTGCTTCAGTTTGGCATATATCCTACCTTTGATTTGCACCTTAATTAATCCTGTATTTGAGGTTCACAGTGTCCTTTGCTTTCTTTAGCTTTAACTCTTGGTCAAAGACAACACAAGATACTTTCTGCTGTTAAAATTTTAGTGTTCATCCTCAAAAATTTTTATATGCAGAAAATGCGGTTAGACCCTACATGCCATTTGTAACCATATTTTAAAATTACTAATATGTTATGAATACTTTCTGTGCTAATAGGTTTATTACTACAAGTATTAGGAACTGTTCTATCAGCTTTACACATATACCCTAATACAATTTTCACAGCAATACCCTTGCTTCCCACTTCACTGAGAAAATTGAAGCCCTTAGCAGAGAATGTCACCGACTCCACCAACAGAACAGCCCCATCCACCAGCATATCTGTTTCTCATTCTCTTCTTCCCACCTGTTATCAGATATGATTTTAGCCAACTTCTGTGGAAACGCAGCACCTTGACAGGAGCACCAGGAGCCATCGTGTGTCACCCACTCAAAAATGCATCACTTTATCAATGCCCTTCTCTCTCTCTATCATATATCATATATATATATACACACACATACACACACATCTATATAATACGTATATCATGTATCTTATAAATATGCATATATTTACTCTCTACTGGATCATTCTCATTGGATGGGCTGTTATTTGACCCATCTCAAATGAGCTTTGAGCTTTATGCGGACCCCACTTTCCCTGCCTCCTCATTTCTTTGCTTCTCTTTGCAGAAAAACTCTTTAAAAGATTTCTAATCCTTATTCTTCTGATTCATCTCTCAGTCTCTCCTACCTTATTCTAATTAGGCCAAGAAGCTGCTAACATTGCTCCCATCAAAATTGCCAGTGACCCCCTATTGCTCACCTAATAGTCTATTTTCAATCCTTATCTCATTTGATACATAATAATTACAGAATTACACCCAGTTGATTCTCTCTTTCTCTCCCCTCTCTCTTCCTTTCCCCTTCTCTCTATTTTCTTAATTTATCTTGTAAGACACCACAATTTCCTGGTGGTGTTTTTTCTGTCTCAGTGGTTGTTCCTTCACAGTCTTCTTTGCTGGTTCCATAATCTGCTAGCTCTTAATTTTATAATCTTTCAAAAGCCCTGTCCACGTTTTCCTGTCTGATATTTACTCTGTCTTTTGGGGGGATCATATCGATTTTTAGAGTTTTAAATACCATCCATATCTTGTCTTCCAAATTTTTCCCTCTAACTTTCCCCTAATGTCTGGATTAAATACAGGATTGCCTACTTCACATTTCCAAATGCCTAGTGAACATCTCAAATTTAGCACATCTGAAACTGATACCTGCGACATACTCCTTCCCTCCACACCCACTCACCCCTTACTTTTTCGTTCCCCATTTCTATTGATGGCAAATACACATTTCCAGCTGCATAGGTCAAAAATCTTGGAATCATCTTTTACTCCTAGTTTTCTCTCTTATCTAAATTCAATATGTCATCAAATCCTATTGTCATTACCTCCAAAACATATCTGGAATTAAAAACAGCCTATCACCATTGTTATGTGCCTGGTTCAAATTAAGTATCCGTTTGTCACTTGAATTGCTGCAATACTATAGTCTCCTTAAAAATATGCCTGCTTCTGCCCTTGTACTATACACTTTATTTCCATGCCAGTAGCTAAATAATTCTGTAAAAACACACATTGGATAATATCTCTTAGAGCCAAAAACCTGCTGAATGTTTCAGTCACAGTAAAAAGCCACAATCCTCTTCAAGGCCTCCAATGCCCATCATTATCTGACCCACTTACTACTCTGACCTTCTCTCCAAGGACTCTCTCTCCACCATGATGCTCCAGGCACATAGGCCACATTTCTTTATCTAGAGACTTCACACATGACCTATCACAGGACTTTTGCTCTGCTATTCCCTCTACCTAGAACACCTCTCCAAGTGTCTGCCTGACTAAATCTCTATTTCAATATCTGCTTATACTTCACCTTTTCTATGAGGTTTATCTTCACCAGTCTTCTTAATACTGCAAGCAAGTCCCTATCCCCACCTCAGCACTCATGATCCATGTATACTTAATGTCTAAAATAGTAAGTATTTTACTTGATTGCAATTATGCTTCTTCTCTTATGGCATCTCTTGAGAAATAAACTTGACACTTGGTCTATTTTGTGGTCTACTGTATTAACTAATATAGCCCAAGTGCAACATAAGAAACACAAAATAAATATTTGATGAATGATTGAACATTAACAATGAGCATCTATCTCTCTATATTTTTTAATTTGTGAACCATATGTTCTATTTTTTTGTATTTTTTTCATTCTCACTAATATGTATTGCTTTTAAAATGTTCTTGATTTTTAAGGGTATTCTTTTACATATTAATTATGTTCTATAATTTATTTTGATATAAGAAATTGAGCAAGATATTTTATAATAGTTGATCACCTGTTTTTTGTTTTTGTTTTTGTTTTTGTTTTTTTTTGAGACAGAGTCTCGCTCTGTCACCCAGACTGGAGTGCAGTGGCGCAATCTCCGCTCACTGCAAGCTCCGCCTCCTGGGTTCACGCCATTCTCCTGCCTCAGCCTCCTGAGTAGCTGGGACTACCGGTGCCCGCCACCGCTCCCAGCTAATTTTTTGTATTTTTAGTAGAGACAGGGTTTCACCGTGGTCTTGATCTCCTGACCTCGTGATCCACCTGCCTCGGCCTCCCAAAGTGCTGGGATTACAGGTTTGAGCCACTGCGCCCGGCCTGACCACCTCTTTTTATATTGTTTATTAAATAATCCATTCTTTTCTCCTTCTGGAAGCCAAGTAAAAAAATATATAAGGAAAAAGCAAAGACTAGCTGAACCTAAAGCTGATAGAGTAAGAAAGTAGGAATTGATAATTAATAACTGGGCTTAGTAATTTATTATATATATGGGCTGCATATATGCACTTGACTCTATTTCTGAACTTTTTATATTGTTTCTTCATCCTATACAGTTTATTTCTATCCCAGAAGCTTGAGTGATACTCTATGACATCATGTCATTCCTTTGCTCAAACCGTTGCTCTTATATTTTACTCCCAATAAAAGCCATATATCTATCTGCCTACTCTTTTGTGAATATCTTATCTCTAAAATATTTAATTTTATAATAAATGTTTAAATTTATAGATCCCTTCTCCTTTATGTCTTATTGCTTTTGTATCTATTTTCAAGGATTATTTTCTCAACCTACTTTTAAATTTTAATTAGATCTTCATCAAATAGATCAATTAAACTTACATGGGGACTTAGAGAAACCTCAAAGAATGAGCTGGCTCCAAAAATGTAGGTTGACAACCCAGGAGGTGAGGCTGGATGATGGCTCCCTGACTCCATCACTTTTCAGAGCAGTGGCTATGACCTGAGTCACATCCACCACACAGCACACGAAAAGTCCACTCATCTGAAAAGGACAAAAAAGAGAAGGGAAGCCTGAACTAATACGGTCATATGACTAACAAAAGAAGCCGGATCTTTTGTGCTTAATTATTCCACATTCCTTCTTTTTACAGGGAGCAAGCACTACCCACCTACTCCCACCTTTCTTCATCATGCCTAACTTGGCTTAGTTCTACAGGCACAGGTCAAGGAATAACCTGCTGATCCATAAATCCTCTTAAGCCAGCTTTCCTGACATCACAATGACACTGACTGCTCTCCTGCAGCAGTGGTCTGCAAACTTTTTTATAAAGGATCAGATAATAAATATAGACTTTACAGACAATATACAGTCTCGGTTGATTCTCCTTCCCCTCCTCCCTCCTCCTTCTCCTCTTCCTCCTCTTTGCTCTCCTCTTCCTTCTTCTTCTCTTCTTCATGTTTACTCTTTAAACATGTAAAAACCACTCTTAGCCCACAAGCCATACAAAAACAGGCAAGAGGCTGGATTTGTTCCACAGGTCATACTTTTCCAATCCCTGATCTAAAGGCAGATATCTTTCTTTACATTTTTATTAATCAAAATTTTCTTCTGTTGTCACCATAAAATACCGGATGGTACCTTAAACAGATAACATATTTCATCCAACTCTCAAGAAATAGATTATTTCCCCTCCTAAGGCATCTTTAGACTCCCAGGTATGGCAGCCATGGAAATGCACAGGTCAAATCTCACGCTTTGGAGAGGAGAGTTCAGACCCCAGTTGCCACCCCTCTATATTTGTGCCGAGGCCACGCTTCCCTCAAGCTGCTCTCAGCCAGTGGAGGAACATGGCAGGGATATTCTACGAACTCATTACTACAGCAGACAGGACTCCTCTGGAGTTGAGGATTCCCCATATACCTGGCGAATGTTCATAGTCCTGTGCTGCAGTTTGAAACTCTTGCTACTCAGTCCTTCTTTCTTGCCCTTCTATTTCACAGATGTCAGACTTGCACTGTAGTCTAGAGACTCTCCCTGTTCCCTCCTTTTATCCTTCACAGGGATTTCCTCCACATCTAATCCCACCCAGTGTCTATTTCTCAGAGAACCCAAATTAACTCATCAGTTAACCCAAATTAACTCATTCTGCCTCTAAGAAACAGATTTTCTTCATGCTGATTTTCTTCTTCACCAGGTTCAAATCTATTAGTCTGCTATGGCTGCTGTAACAAAGTACCACAAACTGGGTGGCTTCAACCACAGAAACTTTTTGTATCACAGTTCTGGAGGGTGAAAGCCCAAGAGTGAGCTGTCTGTAGGATTGGTGCCTTCAGAGGGATATGGGGGAAAACCTGCTCAGCTCCAGTGATTTGCTCTTGCAGATGGTGTTCTAGCTGTCTTCCCATCATCTTCCCTCTGTACATGACACTCTCTTCAGGTGGTGTTCTTTTTCTAAGAACATCAGTCACATTGGATTAGAAGCCCACCTTACTCTACTGTGACCTCAACTGCAATAATCCTATTTCCAAATGAGTACATTCTGAGGTACTGGCGGTTAGGATTTCAACAAATGAATTTGGCAGCGGCGGTGGGGTGGGGGTAGAATTCAACCCAAACACCAGACTTGACATCTAACCTCTTCCTCAGGGACTACATGCACAAAAATAATCCCCATAAAGCAATAGTGAGGATGTGAGGGTGACATGGCTAGAATCATAACATTTATGACAGAGTTAACATTTGACATTGCTTACTTGAACTTCTAATTCTTAAAAGGTATTTCAGCCAATCGCTACCGATCACTACTCACTAGATGATCACCCACTTAGTACTCATCTGCCAGGATGTCAATCGTGTATCTTCCCCTCCCTTTTTCCTCTCCTCTCCTATCTTTCCTCTCCCCTTTTCCCTGGGGAAGAGAAACAAATCCCTTCTAATTTTCTGTTTCATATCAGATAACCATTGCCCTAGAGTAAGAAATGGGACTATTGCAATAAACAAGTCTAGTCTCCTCGGATGCAAAATGCACATTGAAATAGTATTTTGCCCTCCTCCTTCAGGCAGCAGACAAGCAATATAAAATGTTATCACAGGAGCTTATGGAGTATACAACATAAATGTATTGCTTCATAAGACTGATAGCTTGAGAATACAGTGAACCACAAATTGGATATGGCACATTTTGTAGTAAGGCAATTTTTCTTAAAAACATTTTTATCATAAAGTTTTCTCCCCTTTAGAAAAATATTAGTATTGCTAGTTGATAATAAATTTCAATGTCAGGTAAAATAAAAATAAATTATTATAATCATTCTCCCACAATTTCTTACATTTTCCTAACTATATTACCCTCCCTTTGAGTGACGGTACCTCTAGTTTTGTACATAGAAGACTATCCAGAACAGCAGAGAATAATCAGTCAGCTGACAAACCACATCTTCAGCAGAGCTGTAGTGCTCTTAGAAGTCAAACTACGTGGCCGGGCGCGGTGGCTCACTCCTGTAATCCCAGCACTTTGGGAGGCCGAGGCGGGCGGATCACGAGGTCAGGAGATCGAGACCATCCTGGCTAACACGGTGAAACCCCGTCTCTACTAAAAATACAAAAACAAAAAAACATTAGCTGGGCGCGGTAGAGGGCGCCTATAGTCCCAGCTACTCGGGAGGCTGAGGCAGGAGAATGGCGCGAACCTGGGAGGCGGAGCTTGCAGTGAGCCGAGATCGCGCCACTGCACTCCAGGCAGCGGGACAGAGCGAGACTCCATCTCAAAAAAAAAAAAAAAAAAAGTCAAACTACGAAACTTTCTTACCTCTTTAAAAATTGTTTCCCATCTTGATTTTTTGTGTATTTTTTGTTGTTGTTGCTTTTGCCTTCAAAGACTTCTCTTATTCTCTTTCATACTTAGTTCAATTATATTTAAGAAGTTTTAAAACATTTACATGTTAAGTTTAAGTAAATGTTTTGCTAAATATTTTGGATCTTTGGTAGGAAAAGTTTTTAGTGTACTGGGAACTTTTCATGAGAAAGATTTTTAGCTTTCCACATTTTTATGTAAAAAGCCACCTTCAACTCAAACTGTCCTGTTAGTTTTCACTAGTAATTCTATGTTGCTGAATCTAATGATAAATTCTGACTGACTCTTCACCTCATTTGCATAATCATAGCACAGGATATACCCAAGCACTTTTTCCTTCTTGAAGCACTTTCTCTATTTTTTCTTCCGGAATACCCTCTCTTGATTTTCTTTTCTTCATCACTAGACATTCCTCCTTAGGTGCTAACTGTACCCTCCTCATTTTCTTCACACTAAAGCGTGAGAAACCTGCAAGTCTCTGTACTCAGTCAGTCCTAGATCTCTACATTATTTCTCTGGGTGATCCCATACAGTCTTGTGTTCCAAATACTCTCTATGCACTGATGGTCCCTAACTGTGTATTTGTAGACTCAGACTCAACTTTCCCTTGAACTAAAGACTTGTATAACAATTGGCTATTCAAAATTTCTGCTTGCACATCTAAAGAGTAGCTCAAACAAAAGTCTAAATTCTTTCCCTTACCTGTTTCTCCTGCTACATTCCCCTCTTAGAAAAGAGCACCTCCATTTTTTAGATGCTCAGACAAAAATCATAACAATAATAAAAATAATAATAAAAAATTTTAAAAAGATTACTCATCCCTGGCTACTCTCTTCTTCACATATCTCCCTTTAATTTAGATGAAAATAATTGTCACCTGTACCTTCCAAATATATGGAATCCAAGCACTTTACCACTGTGATTCTACCACCTTAGTTCTGGCCATGCATGCCATCCTTCTCATAAATTGTCCCAATCGCATCCTTATGCTCACTTTCACTTATATAATGCTCATTCATTCTCCATAAAACAGCCAGAGTAATCCTATTAACATGGACATAAGAGTATATCACATGTATATCCAGAACCCCTAATGTGTTGTTTTATTACCCACAATAAAATTCAAGTTCTTTCCACCGTCTGCAGGGCTCAATGGCATCTCGCCTCTGACCACTCCCACTCCTGCTTTTCCTCTTTCTGTTCCGGCTACATTGCACTCTTGGCTATTCTATGAACATGCCTAGCACACTCCCAGCTCAGGTAGTTTGTGCCTGCTGTCCTCCCTGCCTACACATTTACCACTGCAAAGTCATGTGGGAACCTGACCAACAGTTTTCTCCTCAATGAAGCCTGCACTAAATGCTTTATTGAAAATAGATGCCGCCATCACTTTCTATCCCCTAACTGTGCTTTAGTTCCATTAATCAAATTTATCTCCACCTCATATACTATAGATGCATGTCTTTATTTTTTCATTGCTTTTCCTCCTCAAGATTTTAATCTTGATTTAGACATAAAATACTTCTCTTTTCTTCACTGCTATATCACCAGCTCCGGAACAGAGCCTAGCACAGAGTAAATGTTCAAAAACCAAAAGGTAATTGAATAGGTATGATCTCCTTATACAGATTAGGAGATGAAAGTAAGATAGTTTTATGTGTTTCCCCATGTAACTGAGATAGTAAGTAGAATATCTACAAATTAAATCCTGGCCAGTTTAAAAATAATAACAAAATGTAACAAAACAAAACAAAAAAAGTGATATTTTTCATTGCCCTCTGCCACATTCATAAAATCACAGTTTCTTTGCATGATATTCATGGGTTCACCATCTGACCCCAATCTGCCTTTTGAGCCTTATCTCACAAATGAATCAGCCTTCTTACAGAAGCCCTATCTAAACCCACTCCTGTTTTTCTAGCTGTCTCCCTTCAAAGTCTTGCCCTTGTTCACCTCTGTGCTTTGCCTCAACCTTCTCCCTTAGCCTGGAGTGACCTCTTTCCCTATCTCTGGCTAATGAAATCTTCCTCTTGCTTTACTTAGGTCAAATGTCACTTACACCATTAAGTCAGCTCCAGTCATCTCAGTAAAAATTAATCTCTTTTCCTCCAGGCACTGCCAAAGCATTTCCTTTTCATTTAACTTTTGGTGGTTTATGCAATGTGCCCTGTATTAACTGTAATAACGTTCCTGCTCATGTCCCTCAAGAGAAACTAAGCTTCTTGAGGACAGTGGTTTCTTTCTAATCACTTTTGCATTTTTTTCTTTGATCATTACAGTGTTTCATATACAGTCAGTAAGTAAATAGACAAAGAATTCTTTTAACTCTACAGGCATATCCAATTGTCCTAATAAGAAAAATATCCAATTATTTTTCATTTTTAAAGTTATTGGGATTTGTTTGTTTTGTCTTGTTTTTTAGGCAGATTTTCACTCTATTTCCCAGGCTGGAGTGCAGTGGCACGATTACTGCTCACTGCAGCTTCAAATTATTGGGCTCAAGCCATCCTCCCACCTCAGTCTTCCAAGTAGGTAGGACTACAGGTGTGTGACACTATGCCCAGCTAATTTATTATTATTAATTATTATTATTATTTTGTAGAAAAAAGGTCTCAATATGCTACCTAGGCTGGTCTGGAACTCCTGACCTCAAGCAATCCTTCTGCCTCAGTCTCCCGAAATATTGGGATAACAGTTAATGTTATTGTTTTGATGCATAAAGTTATAAACTCAGATTTCTCTTTTGACTGGCTGAAGTTTTACTATAAAGATCAGCAATATAATTCATAACACTTATTTACAACATATTTTCAAATAAATCCACATTACTTAAAATGCAAATAGAGAATGATTATTAAGAGGAATAAAAAATAATACATAAAGAGGAAGACAGAGAAGTAAAATATGTGTGGTAGGGAGGGTAGTTCACATTGTGACATGAAGGGAAACTATGTCCCCTCAGTCCCTTTAATTCTTTGATTCCATCCCACGCTAAGTCCAGTAGGTTTTCAGTTTCAATTGTGCATATTTATTTAATTTTCAATCCTTAGGAAGTTGCAGTATATGTTGATGAATAGCAGATATTTTGACATAGTTGTCACTGAAGATACATTGTGCAGATGCTGTAAGTAGGGTAAATATGACAAGGACAGAGTTCACACTAAAGAATACTTGCAATTTCATGCTTAGATATTGGTGTGTTTTCCTTATGCACATGAAGAATATTTTGAGCAGAAAACTAACTAACCCTTATTTGAGGTTTGGGCATATATTCCTATATTCAGCCAGAAATAGAAACTGCCT
This sequence comes from Homo sapiens, assembly GCF_000001405.40. NCBI lineage: Eukaryota > Metazoa > Chordata > Mammalia > Primates > Hominidae > Homo > Homo sapiens. Next base: position 90,752,480 of record NC_000013.11, read on the forward strand.
AGGGAGGAAATTTGAGTCAAGAAGTTTATTAGCAAAATAGGGAACAAAAGCCTCATTTTTGGCAGCAGAGCAGTAATGGTGGAGGAAAAAAGAAAACACAATAATATTAAAGATTTCAAACTTAGACCACAGATTCCACAAAAATAAGTTAGTATTTATTAATTGTGGATTTATTCACATGTATTGAGTGTTTGTTAAGTCTTTCACATAAGAATGAAATGCTATTAACATATACAATAGAGGGTTTTATTAACCTAGTTAAGAAGAAGCAACTATAGTTAAGAAGGAAGAACAGTGGTTAACTACTAAGTGAAGAAGAAAGGGAAGCATATTTCAAGGTAGAGTGCATACAATTTCAGTGGCAGAACAGCGCATAGAAAGTTTAAGAAATGCTTGGGTAAGTTCAGTGGTGACTTCAGAAGATAATAAGAAGGAGGGCAGGACGAGGAATGATATTGTACACTATGTTAAGAATTACTCTCTCTCTTAATATAGTAGAATTTGGACATGCAACCACACTTGCAATATTTTTGTTTTCCTTTCATGAATGCATCAGAAAGTTATAGGGCAAATATTTTTTCTCACATTCTGGGAATATTTAAAGTTAAAGCTCTTTCTGTCATTTAGTGAAAAAGAACAAATTCATACTCTGGTATTAATGAAATGACAAAAAAATGACAAGGTTTTTTATTTGTTTGTCCCTGGCTCCACGTCACCGCATCACCACTAACAACAACAACCAATTGGAAAGATAAAGAAGATGAGGACCTGGGAACCCTAAATTGCCTGAAGGAGAGGATGTTACATTATGGGAACTGGGGAAACTTGAAAACATAATAGGAAAATAATAAAAAAAAAACAAAAAAAAACAAAACAAAACAGAAAGAGAGAGGGAATCTAGAAGGAAATAATTGAGTTGAACTCATCAAATATATTTGAGTGCAGTCCTCTTCAAACACCTAGGATCTCCTATCAGGACAAAATGTGGGGCCACCTGACCTTCCTCCAGGCCATGGGATTTGCATGAGCATCATCACTACCCTTGATGGCCATCCTAGAGCACTTGTACCCAGTATCTCCAGCATGATTCAGAGAGAAAAGTTCCCTATACAGTATAAGATTGGGACTACACTAAACAAGCTTAAAACTCCTCAACTAGAAAAGTGATCATTGACATGACATTCCACTTTTGCTATGAGAAATGAGAAGGAAACAAATAATCATAATATCATATTTGTATTTCAAAAGAAGCTCTCTGGCTGAAAATCCTGAAGTATCTCTTAAGGAAGGAGAGGTCACATGCAGCATTTTCAGCCTATTGTAATAGGCACATCTAAATATTTTTACTAGTGAGGTAGCAGTGGAAATGGAAAACTATTTTGGGTGTAAAAAAGATAATGAGCAGCTAATTTAAAATGAAGTACTAATGGATTATTGATCAGACATTAAAGATGGGAAAATAACATTGAGTCAAAGATGCTAAGTAATCTGCCTTGGGGAGTTAGGAGAAAAACTGATGAGCTTGATGTCAGACGAGTTAAGCAGAAAGTTTTCAAGTAATATCTCTGAGTTGATGTCAAATTGGAAATGGCAAATGTAGATCTGAAATGCAGTTAAAAGTTGGAGGCTCCATCGTTCTTCAGGGAACTAGAAAAAACAATCCTAAAATTCATGTGGAACCAAAAAATAGCCTTAATAGCCAAAGCAAGAGTAAGCAAAAAGAACAAATCTGGAGGCATCACATTACTTGATTTCAAACTGTACTATAAGGCCATAGTCACCAAAACAGAATGGTGCTGGTATAAAAATGGGCACATAAACCAATGGAACAGAACAGAGAACCCATAAATAAACCCAAATATTTAAAGCCAACTGATCTTTGATAAAGCAAACAAAAACATAAAGTGGGGAAAGAACAGCCTATTCAACAAATGGTGCTGGGATAATTGGCCAGCCACATGTAGGAGAATGAAATTGGATCTTCATCTCTCACCTTATACAAAAATCAAATCAAGATGGATCAAGGACTTAAATCTAAGACCTGAAACTATAAAAATTCTAGAACATTGGAAAAACCCTTCTAGACATTGGCTTAGGCAAAGATTTCATGACCAAGAACCCAAAAGCAAATGCAATGAAAACAAAGATAAATAGGTGGGACTTAATTAAACAAAAGAACTTTTGCACCGCAAAAGGAACAGTCAGCCGAGTAAATAGATAACATGCAGAGTGGGAGAAAATCTTCACAATCTATACATCTGACAAAGGGCTAATATCCAGAATCTACGAGGTTCTCAAATAAGTAGTGTGTTAGTTAGGGTTCTTTAGAAGGACAGAACTAATGAAATATATATAAAGGGGAGTTTGTTAAGTATTAACTAACATGATCACAAGGTCACACAATAGGCCATCTTCAGGCTGAGGATCAAGGAGAGTCAGTCTGAGTTCCAAAACTGAAGAACTTGGAGTCCAATGTTTGAAGGCAGGAAGCATCCAGCATGGGAGAAAGATGTAGGCTAGGGGGCTAAGCCAGTCTCTCTTTTCACATTTTTCTGCCTGTTTTATATTTTAACCACGCTGGAGCTGATTAGATTGTGCCCACCCGGATTAGAGGTGGGTCTGCCTTTCCCAGCCCACTGACTCAAATGTTAATCTCCTTTGACAACAACCTCACAGACACACCCAGGATCAATACTTTGTTTCCTTCAATCCAATCAAGTTGACACTCAGTATTAACCATCACAAGTAGCAAGAAAAAAAACAAACAATATCATCAAAAAGTGGGCTATGGACATGAATAGAAAATTCTCAAAAGAATATATACAAGTGGCCAACAAACATGAAAACATGCTCAACATCACTAATGATCAGGGAAATGCAAATCAAAACCACAATACCATACCACCTTACTCCCGCAACCGTGGCCATCATAAAACATTCAAAAAATAATAGACGTTGGGGTGGATGCAGTGAAAAGGGAACACTTGTACACTGCTGGTGGGAATGTAAACTACTAAAACCACTATGGAAAACAGCGTGAAGATTCCTTAAAGAACTAAAAGTAGAGCAACCATTTGATCCAGCAGCCCCACTACTGGGTATCTGCCCAGAGGAAAAGAAGTCCTTATACAAAAAAGATACTTGCACAAGCATGTTTATACCAGCACTACTCGCAATTGCAAAAATGTGGAACCAGCCCAAATGTCCATCAATCAACTAGTGGATAAACAAACTGTGGTGTATATATATATATATATATATATATATATGATGAAATAGTACTCAGTCATAAAAAGGAACAAATTAATAGCATTGGTAGCAACCTGGATGGGATTCGAGACTCTTATTCTAAGTGAAGTATCTCAGGAATGGAAAAACAAACATCATATGTTCTCACTTATAAATGGCAGCTAAGCTATGAGGATACAAAGGCATAAGAATGATAAAATGGACTTCAGGGACTCAGGGGGCAAGGGTGGGAAGGGGTGAGGGATAAAAGTTTACAAATTGGCTTCAGTGTATATTACTCAGGTGATGGGTGCACCAAAATCTTACAAATCACAACTAAAGAACTTATGCATGTAACCAAATACCACCTGTTTCCGAAAAACTATGGAAATAAAAAGCTTAAATAAATAAACTAAAAAAAAATGTTGGAGGTTAGTGATTTCAATCATTTGTAGAGAAACATTAATAAAGAACAAAAAATGTAGTGAGAGCCAGGTGCCGTAATTTACAAATGTTATTCCATTTTGTTCTCAAAATAATACTGCAGGATGAACAATATAAAGATACCAATTTGCAGATGAGAAAAGTAAAGCTTATAAAAGTTAATTTGCCAGGGGTGAAATTTCAGGATTTGTCTTCCTAAATTGCTATCTTTTGCTGCCTCTCTATGATGTTAGGGTGCACTAAGAATGAAAGAGTTTACCCAGAAACAAATAGAAAAAGAATCTCCAGCACAAGGGAATGAAAAACAAGACAGAGAAGCATATGCAAAAAGCCAGGGACTGAAATACCTTCAAAATCAAATGTGGGGATTTGATAGTTTTGAATGTTAGTTTTATTGAAGTTTGTTAATCTTGCAAAATGCTTCAAAGGTGTTGAGTCAGAGGAGTAAGGAGAAAAAGTTATTTCATTAAGTCATTCAGAAAATGAATTTAGCAACAAATCTGCGCCAACTACTCTTCTATTTGCTGTAAATACAATAGTGAACAAGACAGAAAAAATCACATTCCTAACGAGATAAAATTCTAATAGGAGACAGCTAGTAAACAAACTATCATGTAACTCAAGACCATAAATTGACACTTGCCAATGAAGAACTCCCTGGGGTTACCTAAGTGAAGCAAATTCTCTGGGTTAGAAGCCAGATGGCCCTCAATCGAAGAATAAAGAGGAGGCAATGCTGGAGTGAAGTAAAGTGAACATGCACAATTGCTGCACCTTGTGTATTTACAGAAAGGATATAATATACAGGTTGCTGGGGGATGCTGACAGCAGGTGCAAGAGCTATGCTAAGATAGGAGTAGATGCATTAAAGGGGTCCGTAGGTACTGTGATGGTTAATTTTATGTGTTAACATGACTGAGCCATGGGGTGCCCAGACATGTGATTAAACATTATTTCTGGATGTGTCTGTAAGGGTGTTTCTGGAAAGATTAACAGTTGAACTGATGGACTGAGTAAAGCACATGGCCCTACCCAATGTGGATAGGCAACATCCTACCCCTTGAAAGCCTAAATAGAATACAAATGTGGAGAAAGTTTAAATCCACACTCCCTCTATCTGTTTGAGATGCAACATCCATCTTCTTCTTTCACTTTTGGTTCTCAGGGCTCAGACTACTCCACCTGCCTTCCTGGCTTCCCCCTCCAGCTTGCAGATTGTAGATCATGGGACTTCTCAACCTCCATAATCACAAGAGCCAGTATTCTGTGCCAGGTACTCTTCTGAGTTCTGTGGATGTGTGTGTGTATTTTGTTTCTCCGGAGAACCGTGACTAATACAGATACTTATGGTCTCTTTTTGTGCAATTTCCAATTAACAGGGAAGTTAAAGTGAACAGTTGCATTTGTTGTCAAAACAGCATCCCTAGAGTCACCTGGAGGGCTTAGAAAACACAGAGTACTGAGTCCATTCCAAGAGTTTCTGATTTAGGAGGTCTGGGGTGAGACCCAAGAATTTTCATTTCTAATAAGTTCCCGGGTGATTCTGAAGCTGCTGGTTGGTAGACGGCGCCTTGAGAACAAATGCCATAAAAGAGTAAATTTTGTAAATAATTGAATAGTCCAGACTTTAGTCACATTCTTGTTCTCTCTCCCAACCAGTTCTTAATCAGAGGAAACAACATCTTGAGCCAGCTTGAAAAATTCTGTTCTTATTTGTTTAGAAAATTGTACATAAATCTCCAATGGGCTATCTGTTCTATCTCTGACAAAGTCCTTGTGTCCCATTATAATAGAGGCTCTGCAAGCATAGCAAAATGTCAATTTTACTGCTAAAGAGCAAGTTCTTAAAAAGTGCATTTCACAAAGTATAGGAAAATAGCCAATTAAAAAAACTTTTCTCACAGCAGGACATCCCTTTAAGTAATCTAATCATAAAGAATATCTTGTATTTCTGCAAAAAGTTGCATTATGACTAATATTAACTTAAGATGAGAGATTTTACCATTTGCTGCCTTGTAGAAGTTATTGACTTTGTATATTTTTAATAAATGTCTCTATTGCACTCACAAACTATGCTCGCAAGAGAAGCTACCATCTAGCTGGTCTCTCAATGTCCTTGTCTATTTGTGAACACTTCCTTGACCTCTATACCATTTTGTACACATTTCTATTTACCTATTGCGTGTAACTATGGCTAGATTCTTCTGTTTTTCAAAAGACCACTTAATAAATGCCATTTCACTGGGAAAGCTCTCTCTGACTCCCTTTGGGCTAGGTCCAGATTCTTTTGTTATAAAAGTGCACACTGGACACTGATTTTTTGTAAACATTGAAATAAGATATTTTTTGTATCTGTATTTATGGATGTCTGTTTATGTATGCATAGACAAACACATAAATTCAAGGTATGCAAATGAGTATATCTTCAGAAACTTACCATGCTTGTATACCAGCAAACATCCAGACCTAGAATCAGAAGATATCCTGATTCTATTTTGCCAGGCGTCATCTCTGTCAGCCATCTTGTGCCCCATTTAAGATTTGGACAAGAAGTCTTAGTGTCCAGTTCCATGTACCTGCAGACAAGCTCTGCTATGTACTTTAGAACCAGATTTCCTCTGCCTGCAATCTACCTTCTGCCCTTCACTAGAAGGCACATCTTGGCTTTTCCTAGTGAGCCCCTTTATTGAATTATGGTAGGCATCCGCAGAGATTCTAGAGCCCAGGCTGAGGCTGTGTGAACATGAGCTCTGAAGTTAACAAGACAATGACATTAAGCTCTTGTATTTGAGAGATCTGGGGATTAAAATATTCATGAGAGTTTTGTGAGAGTTGTATGTTACAGACTATGTAAAGTGCCCAGCACAAAACTGGCACTATTTAAATATTAATCTTCTCCCTTTCTGCTACTTTATTTTCCTGTGTGAGGAGTGTTCTCTGTTCTTCCACAATTCTCCCAAGTATTTCTGTTCTTTTTCTATAATTTTCCATTATTTTATAGAGGTGGAAAATATTTTCTTAAGAGGGTTGACACTCAAATGCCTCTTATTCATTAACCATCCTATATCACCTGTCTCTAGCGCCATCCCACTCCTTGCCAAATCACACATAGAAGTTGATGACAAATTTATTTCTATATATTTTGAGTATCACTGAAAAGCATAGTATGGTGTTGTTTTGTGAAAGAGTGAATGTATAGACACTGATCTCTTCTTCTTTGAAATTTTTTGATCCAGAATTTATTTATTTATATATACATATATTTACAGACAGAGTCTCACTCTGTCATCCAGGCTGGAGGGCAGCGGCATGATCACAGCTCACTTCGGCCTCAAACTCCTAGACTCAAGGGATCCTCTCACCTCACCCTTCTGAGTAGCTGGGACTACAGGCACATGTCACCACACCAGACAGTTTGTTTTATTTTTTGTAGAGATGGGTTCTCACTATGTTGCCCAGGCTGGTTTTAAACTCCTAGGCTCAAGTGATCCTCTTGCCTCAGCCTCTCAAAGTGCTGGGATCACAGGCATGAGCCAACACGCTTGGTCCAGAATTTCTAATTCATCACATAAATGAACAATTTTATTGGTTACCTAGATGTTACTTATGTTGTTTTATGCAACGAATTTTGAACAGAAAATTGGATCATATTAATAATAATAGTAAGAATAGACATCTCTGTATTTCCTAAGTCATCTGATCTATAAAAATGCCAACCCCTTCACATGCTCTAAAGTATGCTTATGATTTCTCATACCAGCAGCCAACGTGGCATAATAAAAGAGCGTGCTTGGTCAGTATTATTGTTTTATCATGGTCTATCTCCATGTGGTAAGGTGTCCTGAGAAGGCTGTAAACACACTGAAGCGTGTTGTCTTCTGTGTCTGTCTAGGTCTAATCAATAACAATAGGTATTTATGATTTCCATTTGACAAATGTTTATCAAAGGCCAGGAAACACTGCTGAAAACGACTAACTTGATCCTGCTGTTATGGCATTTTAATCTTGGATTAATTATTACTACGTACCCAAACTTCATTTTACTCAACACCCATATTCATTTAGTAAACAAGCTGAGGGGTGCCAACTTTATGGTAAGCACCGTGGTACTGTTTATAAATACAAAGTGAACAAGACAGACCAATTAGTACCCTTATTGATATGTGAAATTTTGGTAAACGAATGCAACTGTTTTAGTTTGTACTTGAATTTTATTGTAGCTGCTGCCTAGCCACATGCTTATGAATGGCAGAGCACTACTTAAAAATAGCTGTTCTTAAAATCAATGACTCATTGCCCTGTGCTAGACATTTAATTTTCTCTTTTCTTGGAAAAAGCTTTTTCTCAGGAGTATTCCCCAGCCACCCTTCATTCAAAACCTTGGAAAAGACACTGCACTAACTCTATGATATCCCTGAAAGCCATGTGAGCAAGATCACATTTGTGTATAAAGCCCCCCAGAAAACAAATAATATGCAGAAATATAGACAAGAATTATTTTTGACCTTCTAGTTAATATATCTGCCATTTATTCTGTGTCAATATGAGCCAAGCATGATTGGTCAATTTATATTTATTATTTCAAATTTTCATAACCTTGCTGCAAGGTATATATAATTATCTCAGAGATGTTAAGTGATGTGTCCCATGGAGATTGCTCACACTCTTAAAAGTAGAATTTGCATGTAGGTACTTGTCATTCTTCCATGCTCTGCTGCTTCTGTGTGTATGATGGTGTATTAAGTTTCGGAGCTTATGAGAAGAAACACTAATGGAATCAGGAAGAATGCAGTCATTTATTTAAATATTCTACAAATTGATAAAAACATATGTTTTTAAAATGATTTTGAATACAACAGAGTCTTTCCATTTTAACTTGATTTTTGGTATTGCAAATATTTAAGCAGTGCTTAAACAGTCTCTAACTGAATCCAAATGATGTTATTATAATTGCTGTATGAATGGAACAAAATGCTTTAACTCCTCCCAGGAGAACATTGTATTTGTCTCTTCCACACTCTCTTTGGAGGAATAGATTGATTTAGGCAAATACATTACAGGAGTAAAGACCTTTTTAAAGATTGCCTCCTAATCTCTACTCCACTCCATTCTAGCTCTATTATATCATGTCTCTCTGAGTATAAACATATACTTTCAGTACAAGTTACTATTCGGTCCACAATTTTCAGAAAATTGTGGTTGTTAAATATCTTCACACAGGCCTATTGCTATGTATGTCAAGAGTACGGTTATTCAAGGTAAGTGATTTTGATGCATTTGAGTCTCTGTACCTGAATGTTGTACATTTGCGAACATTGTCATCTGAATGATTTTGCAACAGTAAAACACCATTATACTGTAGGTCTTCCTGTCCCCTGCTGTGTGTTCCATCTGTTCAGCCTTTTGTTATTGTTTTTATGTTTTAAATGATACCAATAGCCTTTAACTTCTTTTATTGAAATTTTGAATGAAGAGATTAAATATATACACACACACTAAGAACATTTACATTACCCTGACCTTCTAGTTCATCACGATATAAAGTAGGTATTATGAGGTATTGCTATCTCATCTAATTTTCAAAGTCAAAAGTAATATCTCATAGGATATTTGGTGCACTACATAATAGGAAGAGCCACCAATCTAGTAACTCACTAATATTAAGTCTTTATAAACCTGTGGGACACTGAAGGCTAGAAAATTGAAAATCAGAAGAAAACTCCACTAAATGCTGCAGTTGACTTGTTCCTCTGATTTCTGCTAAATTCTTTAGATCCTGCTAAGGGGAAAAAATGCTTCAGTAAAATACTTGCATAATTTATTCAACATCCATTTCATAGATTTTTACTTGGTGTGTATTATATGGCAGAAATGATGCTGGGGAAGGAATGATGAAAATAAAGTCAAGGTTGCTAGTTACATGGAATTCATAGCTGGTAAGGGTATATACATATTCAACAGACAATTTCATAAATTTGTATTTCATTACAATTGATCTGATGAACATGAAGAAAAAGTAAAATACAGTAAGAGATTATAATGGAGAATATCGCCAAATTGCCTTGGGAGTCAGGGATAGATTTCCAGAATGGCAGGACTTAATCTCAGACCTGCAAGGTGCATAGAAACTTTCAAGGTTAAAAGGGATAGTGAAAGCCTTTTGACAAAATGATATGTATGGCTATGTTCTCAGGAGAGAAGGTGAATGCTCATTTAAGCAAAGAAATGGAGACCAAAGTGGCAACAATTAGATTTGTAAGAGTTGATTAAGATAAAGTTTATGAGCTAGGCAGTGATGAACGCTATCGCCTTTTTCAGCCAGATGAAAGACTTTGAATCTCATCTTAAAACCAGTGGGAACTGAAAACATATTAAGGGGAGAACCGGCATAATTACATTGGCAGGATTTTTCTTTCCTGAAGATCGTTCTAGCATCTCTATGAACAGTAGGTTAGAAGAAAGTCAGAGAAGATGTTTGGAGACAAACTTAGAAGCCACTGTACTCATATGTACAGCATTGTCATTGGCTTGGCCTGGAGTGATTACAGTGGAAAGGAAGAGAAGGAGACAGAATTGATAAATAATCACATATAGAAAGAGTGAGATTCAGTGATTTATTAGATATAGGAAGGAAGTAGTTATGGAGGACAACTCTTGAGTAATGAGGCTATCAATGGAGAAAGGAAACATTGGAGAAAGGATGGTTGAGGAGGGAAAGGGGAAGAAAAGTATGACCAAGTTTTCGAATTGGACGGATTGTGTGTGAGATGCTTAAGTATTGCACAAGTGCAGATGCTGGATAGGCAGTCAGATATATGTGCATGGAACTTGGTAATATGGCCCCAGCTGGAGTTATAAATTTGGAGCTTGTCAACATATATATGATTTTTTTTATTCCATGGGATATTATGAGACTTTCTACAAGAATGGTATAGTTTGAGAATCAAAAAGTGTGTAGGACAAAACCCTGAGGAAATTTTGTATTTAAAGTTTCAACAGAAATGGAGAATCCAGGAAGGGTAACCAATAAGGATAAGAGGGGTATAAATAAACAATGAAAATTACAGTAACCCAGAGAGTAAACTGTTTCATGGTAGAGGAAGCAGTCAACAGAATCCAGTTCTTTCCTCAGTATGATTGAAGACATTGATGACTGAAGCAAAAGAATTCACATCGATCTTATTGACTCAGGAATAAGTTGAGTTGTGGAGTATATGGAAGGAGAAGAAGTGGAGAATCATAGCTAAAAGGAGAACATGGACTGTGGAAGGAATTTTTTTACGAAAAGTACTAAATTATGTTTAAATGATAACTAGAAGGATGCACCAAAGTGGGAAAGTTTGAAGATACAAGGAAGCACAGGGCACATTTGATAGCATATACAGTTCTTGAGAAGGGAGCAAAGAAGAGATGAAATTGCATATGGATGAATAGAAAAGTACTTTGGGACGGAGTATGTTTTCTGAAAAAGACACTTCCGCTGGGTAAATAGGAGGGGAAGTTGCTAAAAATAGATATACTGATGATGACAGATTTAGATACTTAACATTTCAGAGTTTTCTAATATGTATTTTTCTCAATACAAGCATAATCATTTTTAGTATGATTGGACCATAAGTAACATGGGTGGTGGTAAAGGGAAAGATGATGCTTATAATGTAGGAATATGGAGTGCAAATTAAAGAAATTTATGTGAGGAGAGAATACTGATAAAATTTATGTTTCAGAACATAAATTTTATGTTAACTCTGGCTGTGACAGAGGAAATGGATTACAGATGGTAAATCTGGAAGTAAAACAAACTGAAAAAATTGTTTTTCATAGAGATTTTTGCTGATGTCCTTATTTTTGCTCACCCTTCCCCCACAAACTGCCCTCTCCCCAAACACATACACACACATACACAACACAGAGCCATCTGCCACTCCTTCTCATTTGCCAAGAAGAAGTATGCCTGCTTTGGCTAGGATAAAGCATTGTTTCATTGTCTGAGTGATAGTCACGTTAATAATGGTTTTCCTAATGTCTCTTCTTGCTACTGTGAAGGCAGACTATGCTGGTTGGCTGGACCCTTAAGAATTATTTTCTTCATTTGACAATTTTTTTTTTTTTGTTTGTTTGTTTATGAGACAGAACCTCACTCTTGTTGCCCAGGCTGGAGAGCAGTGGCACAATCTCAGCTCACTGCAACCTCCGCCTCCAAGGTTCAGGCAATTCTCCTGCCTCAGCCTCCCAAGTAGCTGGGATCACAGGCATGCACCACCATGCCCAGCTAATATTTTTTTTTTTTTTTTTTTTTTTAGAAGAGTTGGGGATGGGGTTTCACCATGTTGGCCAGGCTGGTTTTGTATTCCTGACCTCAAGTGATACACCCACCTTGGCCTCCCAAAGTGCTAGTTTCACAAGCATGAGCCACCATGCTGAGCACATTCAACAATATTTTATCAGATGCCCTATTTGCTCTGTACCAGACACTGAGATTAACCATGGGCACAAAGTGGTAGCCAAAAATGAAAAGATTATTTAAACCATTCTGCCTTCAAGAAATAGACATGGTCCTACCTCAAAACACATGGAATACCATTCCTAATCATTTAAATTATTCCTTTTGAATTTCATTCCATGTACATTAGGTTATAAACATATAGTAGAAAATCCATGACTTTTTAAGAGTGCAAGAAATGGAGTAGCATACATATATTTATATTATGGGTGAGCATGAGCCCCTCTACATCCTCGGCTTCAAGGCACCAAAAGTAAAACTTCAGAATTATCCCATTTATTTTGGACTTTGGTGAAGTGGAGCATAGAATACCTATTCCCAACACCAATACACAAAAAATTTCTAGCCATGCAGCTCTATTTTTATATATCCATGGTAACCTATTTTTCTTTCTTTGTTTCTTCTTCTTCTTCTTTTTTTTTTTTTTTTTTTTTTGGCTGCTAAGTGGATGTTGCTAAGCAGTTTACATTGCTGTACTGGGTAATTATATCAAAACTGTTACATTTCTTGCAGATTCTCATTTTATTATATACAAATTCTGTCTACTTACTCAAAGAAACTCACCAAAAGCATTAAACTTATTTTTTCAGAAGCTAATTTTTGTCTTCTGGATTGTGTCATTTTTATCAAAATGTGTTACAGGACACTTATTATAGAAGCTAAAAAGTTTATAAATTACTGTCTGCGTATGGAAAAGCCAACTCGTATCTGTTAAAGCAAATGAATAGAAAGTATAATACAGGATGAACTGATGGATTTTGATTAAGTTTGGTTTTTCATCTAGCCTCACAGATACCAGTAACATACAAACCTACAGAGAAATACACAATGAGAAAGAGACTCCATCCACAATGTTTTTTCCAGGACCAGTTGATAGAGAATCTCTCGTTTGCCACAACGGCCAGGTTGTAGAGCCTTTTCTGTGCCTTGCATCTGTTATTTTTCCAGGGAAAATTCACTCCGTAACATGAAAACAGCAGTGTATCTTCTGTAGAAAGAGGTTAAGAGTGGCCCTTGGAACACTGAGAGTTTATGGAAAGTAGGTGTGAAATTCCATTTCATGAGGAAGAAAATATGTCTAATATTATTTTTCTTCTGGTAATATCTTCCACAATAAGGTGTATTAGGAAATCATAGCTGCTTTTTAAACAAAGCAATTATTGTACAATTTTTGCTCCAAATCTCAGAACTAATTTTGGATATGCTGAAAGTATTTGGTAATTTATTTTGAGAGATTATTAGATTTAACTTTAAGGCTATAAATTATGACAATTAATTTTGGCATATATATTTATTATTTCATTGTTCCAAATCAGACTATCTTGGTTTAAATACTGGGTCTGCCACTCATTAAGTTATTGACCTTGGGAATATCATATAAACTCTCTCTGTTTCCTATCTCTAAAGTGAGGCTTATGCTAGTAACCAACTTACCTATCAATCTAGGCATTAATTTGTGCATTAATAAAGCTAATATATGTCAAAAACTTAGGTCAAGGCCAATCACATGATAAGCACATATATCTATCATCATTGTTGTCATCATCATATCTATGAGCTGCCTTAATCAAAGCAAACCTTATTTTTGTTATGTAGTTGTTATTATCTTAGAAAATTTATAAGGGTGAACATGGTATTTGGGTTCTGAAATTTTAGTCTATTTCCTTCTTAAATAAGATGAAAACTCCAACCAGTATAAATCCTTTTTGAATAGAAGTTTAACTAAATTGAATTCTTCCTTCACTGAAAGTAAGTTCAACTGATGTAATTCAGTTTTGAATGTCCTAATGTATTTATCTTGCTTACAGGTGGTTTACACATGACATACATCAGATTCAGGCAAAGTAACGCAATAGTTTTATTCTTTGGCAAGACTCTAAATATACACATACTGAACAAGGGAAGTGCATTTAAAATCTAGAGACAGAATTCAGTGCTAAATAGTAATTGAAAAAGATGTGTTGCTTGGAAACTGCAGAGATCTCTGCTTTGTTTCAAGTGAAGGGTAATACAAATCATGCTTTAAAATAGTAGAACCTTTTTAAAATTTCAACAATGCAATTGATGAGACTTTTAATAAGCTCTGACACATAACTTAGAATAGTGCATTTCCATCATACAGATGGTTCACCAAGATAATACACAAACACTGATAGATTTATATTGAGGTTTGTTTGGTTACACACCTTATTAGGCTTCAGGTTATGGGTGCATAAACTGGACCCAGATTAAGGGTAATGAAATATTCCTTCTAAGAATAATCACCCTTTCAGAAAAAAAACAGCATCTAATCAGCAGTGTCATGCACCATTAAGTTTCTGTGCATGGGACTTGCTGTTTAATAGCTGTTTGGTGACATTTGCAATTGGATGCAGTTATTAAACAATGTAAGATGCTAATTTGTTACTTGGCAAAGGGAGTGGATCCTTTCACTCCCACCAAATTTCAAAATGTAGTGACCCTAAAAGTTAATGGAAATAAAGAGATCCACACATACAGCACAAAAATCACTATGCAGTGGCAACGACTACTCACACTTTGTTTGGCTGCTTGAGGTATGAAAGTCAAATCTTTGCAGACAAGTCCCCTGAATGGTGTGGCACTCACTTAATAATTTCTCCCTCCTGAAGCCTCATTATATCCAAACCTTCTCCTACAGCTCTAGAAGTTATTCCATATTGGGGAATAATTGATCTGCTCATACAGCAGTTTATGAGATCCTGCTATTTTTAAAATCTATTTCTTATCTGACTCAAAACTTAATCTGATGACTTCTTGACAAATTATAACCCTTTTATAAGCTCATAGTCAAAAGTTAGTTTCTAGCTCATTTTTAAGAGACCATTTTATATCAAATATAATTATAATTAGTTTAATAGAGGGGAACACATTTAAGTCCTGCTGTGTGCCAGCATACTACTAACTTTATTTTTGCTTTTTAAAGTTCACAATAAACTGGTAAACTAGACATCAATAAAATTCATTTCATTTTAATAAACTGTCAACCATTAAAACCACAAATATACCCAGAGGTCAGAGTCACTTTTGAATAGATTTTATTAACAAGAGATTTTGATACTGTTTCCCTTATTAATGCAAAAATAGAGTTATAAGTACATGTATAAGATAATGAAAAGTTTTAATTTTGGAATGAAATTGGTGTGATCCAGAGCTTAAATAAAAGTGATAATATTGCAAATGTTACAATAATTTACAATTGTAAGACAACAATCTTTAAAGAACTATCCAAAAAGAATTTTTGATACGTATACTATATAAAAAATCATGTTTAAATTATCTTCCCAATTTTTCCCATTAGAAAACATTCCTGATATTCCTTTTAATGTATTGTAATTTTCAACATTTTGACACCTGATTGTAATTAAGAGTATAACAATAAATATTTATGTAGTGATTTCTGGCAAATAAAATGTTTTCTTATATTTTATTTTATTTAACTTTAGCGATTGAATACAGGATAGACTAGGATAGACAAGGTTATTCTCAGGTAACTAATACCACACAAACCTTACTGACTCAGAGAACAAAGGCTTATTTCTTCCTCAAATTAGAAAATCTTGGGGGAGGTAGGGAAGCTCTGTTAATTGTAGTGCCTCAGAGGTCAGTCTCAGGAAGCAAATAACATCTCAGTTTTTGACGTGTCAGAGGGAAAAGAGAAGTGAGAGAAGGGTGTCTCACACCCACTATTAAACATTGCGGATTATCCATAACATTCATCACTTCTGCTGACAAATCATTGGTCAGAATTGGTTCAACCATAAGGTGACTAGGAAGACCTGTCTTTGTTCCTAGAAGGAGGAAAAACCAGAAAGAAGGGTTGACTTATTCTTATCACTATCACTGATAGATTCGTTCTTAGTATTGTCTTGCAGAAATAAGAGACAGGCTTAGAAAATTTAAGCAGCTTGTTTAAGATCACCTAGTGATCAACAAAGTTGTAGAACCAAGTCTCACATCTATATTTGTAGACTCGCTGACCACTCAACTCACCCTATGCATGCAAGTTATGCCCCACTCCACAGATCTCGCTGTCCTCACCGCCCCCCCGCCCCAAAAAAAATATGTTCCAGCCTCTTTACCTTTGCACATTCCACTCACTTCTAAAATGACCTTTCTTCCTTTCTCTCACCAAAAGTTCAAGATCAATTTCATCGGCTTGGTGAAACTTGCCTATGTCTGCTAGGCAGTGTTAGTCTGTCTAATATCTGGCCTTGAATAGTACAAGAAACTCTGCTTATCCCTGAGAAGGACTCACGGGATTGTTCTCTTATTTGTCTGTTTACAGTCCTGCCTCCACCTCTGGTGATGAGCACAACTAGAACAAGGATTCTGCATTATTCAGCTTTATGTTTTTAGTACTTATTAATTGCTCGAGTGCATAGTGGTTGCTCAGTAAACATTTTTAGAATGTTATTTGATATTCAATATTTAATATGCAATGGTAAATACATTTTATTACTTTTTTGGACAAATACATTCAATACATCCATTTTGTAGGCATATTCAATAAAAGTGTTAAGCATCTTCTATGTATGAAAAGGGAGAAAAAGCTCATTCCCTTGAGAGCATAGCCTTAATCAGATCCTTGATAAAGTTCAAGTCATTAAAGTCATGAAAAGCAGAGGGAAAAGGTATAGTATCCACATCGCCAGCAGAAACCCCACACCTAAGAGAACACTGCATCTTCTCAGAGGAGGGGGCACGTCAGGGGAAGCTGAAAGTGAAGGGAACTAATTTAAAATGACTGCTGAGATGGAAGCATTTTGAGCACAAAGAGAAGCACATGTGAAGGCAGGAGGTATGGGAAAATAGAGCATTTTCTGGGAACTACAAGTAGTTGAGTATTCTTGGAGTATCAGATGTGAATGTGTGGAGTGCGGACGTGAGTAGAAGGTGGAAAAAAAAAGATAAGGCTGAGCAAATTAGTCAGGGAAAGTCCATGAGGACCTACCATGCCATCTAAGCCAGTTTAGAATTTCTCCTGCTGTGATGAGGAAACTGAAGCTCCTAGAGTTTATGTGACTTGTTTAAGGTCACAGCGTTGGCTAGTGAGGGGAGAAGATGCAACCTTGCCTACAGCTTGATTTTTAACAAGTGTTTATTTCTTCTGAATATGTTGTAGTCGGATATTAATTAACATTAAATCCTGAAATTCCAAAGAGATATAGCTAAGTTTGCTTCCCTTTTCAAGATGTGGCTGATTAACAAAATTGACAAGTCAAGGCCACAGTAGAGACCTTTGAATTAAGGATTATCACTAGGTAGATTCCACTTGTCAGTTTATTTTTCTATCTTTTACCTCTCATAGTGAATTATATGTTTGCATCTGTGAATCAAGACCTCAATATTCCACCTAAATCTGATGTTTAAAATTTATCTAATTTTCAGACTTAAAATTATATGTCAGATCCATTGTCCAACTAAGAATCTGCTAATGATGAAATAAACACCTGATAAACATACTGAAAAATAAAATATAGACACGCAATATAGGAGGAGGAAATACATTTCCTCAGATCTATGTATTACTTGACACGGGAGAAAAATGTGATGTAGTAGCCTTATAATTAAATAAGAATAAAGAATAATGTGAACAGCAACTTTGTCAAGTGAAAAACATTTTTTTAGTGACATAGTACCCTTCCCACTGGAATGCCTATGTGCGTATGGCAAATGCAAATCAATCTCTATTTTTAAAAGGAGGCATATTTCTTGAAAATATTTTCAAATAATCTATGCAAAAATAAACTAATCCTAAGGGCAAATTGCTCAAATGAAATTACTGTAATGTTATCTGGAAGTGGTCGATGTTCAGAGAATTTACAGTACTCCTATCTACTGTATTATCAGGATGATCTGCTTGCCTTTGAAAGCTTTTGAAATTGTTTTCCTTTCTTTATCCTCGGGACATGAGGAGATGCTGGGAAGTAGTGAGATAATTGTAATGGGAATTTTTTCCCCTTCTAGGATGAGAATTCACTTTAGAAATCTCCTTCCCCTTCAGTGATAAACAGTAGCTGTTTTGATCAAAATAATATGAATAATAAACCACAGCAGGAATCCTCCCCCCTTTTAAAATAAACTACTGCCTTCTTTTGTTATTCAGACTAGCAACTTCTCATTAGACAGGGATGCTCATAAACTTTGAGTTAATCTTGAAGGAGACAAAACCTCCTGGTTGACTTTTTGGCAAGGTCTTCTTAACAATTAGTATTTTTCTCTTATCAGCGAGGACTGTTAAAGATTGTGTTTTTATTCCCTCTTCCAATTTTTTTTGTTTACTGAGAACAACATGTTTACGACATCATTGTATCAGCTGAGATATAATTATTTTCAAAATTTTATTTATCTCTGCTTTATTCAATGAATTTCAAAATGCCTAATCATGTTACACGGTTTATAAAGTAGTTGATATGTTAGTTGAGTAGCAAATGTATATAATTTATAAATAGATAGTTTCACTTATATGAGTAGTGGACTCTGTTGTTGTTAACTCATTTGTTTGTGGTCAAAATTTGAAGCCCTCTGTTCTATACAACTCTAGTTCTAGAAATTAACTTTTAATATTAAAATATTTCTAGGCTTGTTTATCTCTTCCCTAATAATATTATGGATTAAGAATGCTAATGGTATCTTAATTCACAAATGAAGTATCATCTGTTCATCCTCAGTTTCCTCTTTCCTTTGGATTTGATGCTATTCACCATTTTAATTTTTTAAAGACTACTATTGAAAGTCTGCTACCTGAACATCAGTCTTTGTTTTATCTGATTAGCCTTTTCAAAGGAGGCAATCAGATATTCATCTATCTCAGTAAGCAAAGGGATGACTTTGAATAGAGTGGGAGGCAGGTTTGCCCTAAGCAGTTCCCAGCATGGCTTTTCCCTTCAGCTTAGTGATTTTGGGACCCTAAGATTTATTTTCCTTTCACAATTGTGTTAGGGAGGCAGAGGCTGGCGGATCACCTGAGGTCAGCTGTTCGAGAACAGCCTGGCCAACATGGTGAAACCCCATCTCTACTCATACTAATAAAAATAATTTTAAAAAAATATTAGCTGGGCATGGTGGCACGTGCCTGTAGTCCCACTTACTCAGGAAGCTGAGGCAGGAGAATCACTGGAACCTGGGAGGCAGAGGTTGCAGTGAGCCAGCCAAGATCGTGCCACTGAACTCCAGCCTAGGCAACAAAGTGAGACTCCATCTCAAAAAAAAAAAAAAAAAGAAAAAGAAGAAAAAAAAGAAAGAAAAAAGAAAAGGTAAAAAATGTGAAAGGAAAATAAATCTTAGGGCTCCCAAATTGCTAAGCTAAAGGGAAATGCCAAGCTGGGAACTGCTTAGGGCAAACCTGCCTCCCATTCTATTTAGTCATCCCTCTACTCATCAGATAGATGAATATCTGATTACCTCCTTTGGAAAGACTAATCAGATACTCAAAAGAATGCAACCTTTTGTCTCTCACCTATGTGTGATCTGGAAGCCCCTCCCTAATTTGAGTTGTCCTGCCTTTCTGGACGGAACCAATGTATATCTTACATATATTGATGGATAACTAATATCTCCCTAAAATGTATAAAACTAAGCTGTGCCCTGACCACCTTGGGCACATGTCATCAGGATCTCCTGAGGCTGTGTCATGGGTGTGCATCCTCAATCTTGGCAAAATAAACTTTCTAAATTAACCAAGGACTGTTTCAGATAATTGGGGTTCACACAGTCAAGGCTTTTGATGATGTCTTAAACATAGTTTTTAGTCTTATTTCTACTTCTCTGCACAATAGGACTCAAATTAATACCTGTATCAATGTATATCAAGGGCCTCAAAATGTAAGGATGAAGGTGACTATGCAGTTAATGATTGAACATTTAGTTTGGAAATACTACTTTAACTATTGGATGAAAGGTGGCATTAGTCTATTACAAGAAACAGCATTTGCAAATCTTAAAAATAGATAATAATGTATGTTACCAAGTTAACCACCTACTCCATCATCAATAACTGCTTTTTAATTTTAGAGCTGAGCAGCAGAAATTAGAATGTCTCAAAATGTCATATCTGCCATTCCTGAAGAGCAGTGTTCACAATGCTTCATACTTCCTGTTTTAAGAAAGACATTTTCTTGCTTTAGTCCCTTTAATTACGAAAGGATAGTTATGAACTGCATTCTACCATACAGATGAGAGAATTAAAGATTATAACAACTGCAAATGATATGTTTAAAATTATTCTTAAAAAGATGGGAAGAAAATCTTCAAATATTTTCACTATTTGCTCTCCAGTCTTCCTAAGTGATAATAAATCCAGGGTTTGTTTCAATAATGATACTGAACATACACTGCTGACACAAATTATTTTTACCATAAATTATGCCAGTTACTACATACTCAGAATGTTTTGTGAGCTATTTGGGAACTAATAAAAATAAAGTAATTCATCTAAAGCACACCAATTCTCATGGTGTTTTTAATAAACTCCATTTTTGATGGGATTCACTATCATTTAGGACACGTTTATACCCCATTCTTCTAGAAATTTCTTCAGTCAGTTGTTCTAATCATTAAGGTAGACTTTTTTCACATGAAACCCCAAATTTAAATTCCCTAAGCCCATTGGGTACTTGGGCAATATTAGTTTTAAAACACATTCTCTCTGCTGTAATTTTGTTTCTATCTGTGATACGTTTAGTTGATTTGTTCTTTTACAAAATTCCAGAGTTTCTTCTCCATTGTACTGATTTCCTCCTTCCCCATCTCAAGCCGGTACATTTTTTCATTAACTTTATTTGTATGTCAATCAAGCTGTAATTTCTAAAACATAACATACATAAACAAGCCAAAGTTATTCCATTTTCTGGAAATAATGTTTTAATTAAGATTCAGGCATATGAAACTTCATTCTTCACAACTGTGGTAGTTATGGATTTGCCTGAGAACTGGTTACCATTGTAACCCGCTTATAGAAAACTAAGCCATAAAGCAATGCTTTTCTGCAGTTTGGGATTTCAATTCAGGAGCACTAGCTAACCCCCAGGTTTTCAGCATGATTACATTTATCTATATTTAAAGTACAAAAGAACCAACATGCTGGAAAGTAATTGCTCTGTTGCCATAGGGAAAGAGATTACAAAAACTGTGAGTTTAAGGGAGAAACTGCCTGTGTAGTAATCCCTTTTATTATCTACTCTAAGCCATAAATGATTCTATCCCAAGCCTAATAAATAATTATGTCATGAACTGTAGGGTCAGAGGACTTTAGCAAGATTGTTAAAAAGTCCAACTATCAAAAACTTTCCATATTTCTAAGGCCATATTTTCTCTTTTTAAAGTATCTATTTGACAGCCCAGAATGCAGGGCAGATGCTAATGCACACAGCAGGGGAGAATAATTACCAAAACCATTCATTTACTAGGTGATCTTTAAGGCCTCTTCTAACTTTAAAATTCTATGCCTACGTCTAAATTAGAGAGTCATTTTCATTTGAATTGATAAAGCTAATCATACGTTTTAATTAAGATATTTTCCTTTCATTAAATGACTGTGTGTCAGATTAGGGAATTATGTTAATAGGGAACCAAATTTTGTCTGGAAAGCCAGGGTCATGCAGCAGGCAGAACTTAGACAAATGACTAAGATCTCTTGTAAAACAAGTTTGCCAGCAGAGCTTGAGCTAAAGCGTTTGTCAGTTGGGCAAGGGAATAGATAAATATATCGATATTGCTAATGGGAACACGAATTAGTGGAGGTGAACATGGAGTCAACAGGTAAAGCTAACTTAGGTTTGGGGAAGAGGCGATTGTGAGTCTAATCCTACTTTTCTAATGGGTCACCCAGATTTTCCCCCATCAATTCCACTTCCAAACCAAACTAGCTTATGCTTTATTTTTTCCAGGACTTTGAAAGTCCTAAAAAATCCACCAGCCATCTCAGTCATTTTTCATAATTATATACAGACACAGTCTAAATAAAATGGACAAATTATAAATACATAATGAAAACTGGTTTAGGGATTAGCATAGGTTAAGATGGGTTAGAATCCCCTGTGAAGTGACTAGGTAGATGCTAATTATTTTAAAAACCGGGTGTCTTCTTTCTTGTTATTTTCTACTTCCAGGACCTCACCCTCCACACTGGGGCTGAGACAGTCCCAACATTCAGGTATTTGGCCAGATAATAAATGAAAATAATCGGCTGCAATGAGAAAACAACGAATTTGATTTAATGACCGCTCTGTAATACCAACCCTCTCAAATCTCATCTCTAACAGAAAACGCTTCAATGACCATTCCTTGCGAAGATGGCCTCTTTTATCTCTGCATCCCTGTTTTCTTCACTTTAGAGCACGTGCTGCCTCACAGCAGCTCTTAAATTGTTTCATTGCATGATTTGACAATTTCATGAAATATTTTAGAAATGTATGACCCTTTCCACCACCAAGACCACTACCTCCTTGAGGAAGTCGCCCATGAATTGTAAGATATTCACAATAGGATAACATAGGATCTAGCCAGGGGAGGGTTGTGTCCATCACATTCAATGTTATATCATCATACAATGCACCCAATAAGTACTTGTTGAATAAAAGTTAGGGCAAGGAGTGGAGGACAGTACTCTTTCTGAATAAAGCAAATGAATACATATTTCCATTATTAAAAACAAGAAGCAAAGGAAAGTAGGTTTAGGGAAAAAATAGAAATGTTATTTTAAAAATATTAAATATGTGGTAGTCGCATAATGGTTAGGTGTTGATAAACATATCACGCCTCACTAATGTGTAAGGTGTATTTCTTCCTTTAGGTGATTAGTTTCCCGAGGAAAGGAACCATGATTTGTATGTTTGTTACCACATAACCAGTATTAGGACAATGCCAGAAACACACCAGGTATTTGATGAATCTTGACTACAGTAAAAACTGAGTTAATTTAGTAAATTAATATTATATGTATCCCTCTGCTTATTAGTATTCCAAAATAATGCTTCATATGGTTAACAGAAATAGGAACATACAATGCTTTCTTTGTTTCAGTTACCATTAAAATATACTAAAGCACTTTAATGTATTAGATAATCAAATCCTTGAAACAACTCTAGGAAATACTTACTATCATTACCCACATCCTATATGTGAAGACAAAGAGGCACTGGGCAGGTTAAGTAAATTTCCCAAGGTCATCAGGCTTGGACAATACTTGGGTTGATATTGGGGCTGGTGTCTGAATCTAAGCACTCACTCTCTATAGGCCATGCTGTTACGCATTGTCTTATTCTTCTCTGTTGCCTCCATAATGAAAATAATGCATTTACATGTATTTTGGCTAGCCCGTAAGCAAAACAATTGGCAAATGAAAAAAGAATTGAAGAGAAATTATGCCCATGTATATTCTGGAAAAAGGGAAAATGCGAGATAAAGAACTAAAATGGTAAAATCAAAATGCGTACAGAAACCTATTAGAAGTTGACACTGGGAAGAAGAGAAAAAGGGAAACAAAAATGTTTCTATTTTAAATAGCTCATGCTGGCAGCAATATAAATGTTCATTTTAAGGACATGGTGCTGCTGAGGAAACAACTTTAATTAGCAGGATATTTCCATTCCCCAGGAGAGAGCTTGAGGAAGTAAAGAATGAAATAAAAGGATGAGGCTGAGTGGGTAGCTTCAAAAGAAATTTAAAAACTAGAATTGGAGGGGCACAGTGATGGATAAGACTTGGAGAATGATAAAATATGAGGCGTAAGTGTAAATCTCAGGCTTCTGGCTTTGACAGCAAAGTGGATACAGGGCCCACGATCACAAAGCTGTAGGACAATCCAGATCACATACTGTTTTGTGTGATGATGAGTTGACTTTGGGATGTTTCTAGGGTAAGATACCTATCTGTATCGCTAGCCTCTTTTCTGGAGCAGCATATATTTGCCTCCCTATCACTGCCACTAGTTTACGTCTCATGCCTCTCAATCTTAACACATGCAAAATTGGCTTCCTGAGCTCTCTCCGAACCTACTCCTCTTCCAGTGCTCCCAGATTTAGTAAAGGGCACCATCACCCACTTAGTGACCCAACCAGAATGTTGAGACTTTCTTAACTTCATCCTCTCCCTCATTTCACATCCACCCAATCACTAAGTCCTTCTGAATCTTCATTTTAGTACAATGGAATACATTCATTCTTTTCAATCCCCAATTCTAAAGCCTTACTATTTCTCACTAGATTTAGTGCTATTGCTAGATGAGTAACTGAAAGAAAGGTGAGGAGGTAGAACTTGCTTTTCCCCTGTGTTAAAAAAAATCCTTGCTTATCCCCACTTTACAAATCAAATCTTTACTTACACTTAGAGCCCAACTAAAAATTGCTCCCACTGGGACACACTTTCTAGCTTCAAAATTAGAGCAATCATGGCCAGGCCCAGTGGCTCACACCTGTAATCCAGCACTTTGGGAGGCTAAGGCAGGCAGATCACCTGAGGTCGGGAGTTCGAGACCAGCCTGACCAACATGGAGAAACCCCATCTCTACTAAAAATACAAGATTAGCTGGGCGTGGTGCATGCCTGTAATCCCAGCTACTCGGGAGGCTGAGGCAGGAGAATTGCTTGAACCCGGGAGGCAGAGGTTGCAGTGAGCCGAGATCCTGCCATTGCACTCCAGCCTGGGCAACAAGAGCAAAACTCTATCTCAAACAACAACAACAACAAAACTAGAGATTGCTTCTCAATCACTTGACACCTTCTTCTGACATTTAGCATCTGTATAATTTGTTCATTGTCAATTGTAAGTATCATAAAAACGTGATCTGTCTCTGTCTTCTGCAACTCTGTTTTCCAAGTGCCTGGGAAGAGTTCAATAATTCATAAAGTGAATGAAAGAAGAGAGGTTAGCAAGATAACAACACCAAAAATACCCATTGGCTTTCATAACATAAAAATCATTGATGATTTTTGCAAGTCCGAGTTCACTGTGGCAGCTATATCAGGATGTATTAAGAGTAAATACAAGAAAAATAAATGCAATAGTTCAAATTTATTTCCAGGACTTGCTTCTGACATTAGTTGAGTTAAAAGAGGAAACTGTCACAATTGGTTAAAATGAAAGTACCCTTTACTCATTGACAGTTACCCACTGACTTAAATAATTGAGAGCTGGCATGCTTGCAACCTTGTTATCAATAGTATCAACAAGAAGTACTGCAGTAATACTTTATTAAATGTCTTTGAAAATGCCAAATACGCATCACAGATTTTATATTCTCAATTGTAGCAAAATAATAATTTTGTAAAATTATTACTTATAATCATAATTCACTTGAGAATTCTGAATTGATTTTCTATAGTCCAGAAAGCACAATGAAATCCTAAGGGCCAAACACAGACATAGGACAGTCATATTCATGGGCAAAGGTGGCAGGGCTTTTAACCCCAAGAAGACACAAAACAATCTTGACAGTCTCGCAGGTAGCCAATGCAGCAGAGAAGCTTCTGGAGGTTGAATTTGACCTGCTTTCCCCCTTAGAGCCTCATATTCAACTCGGCCCCCAGACTTCCCAGAGCTAATCTTGTCACAGGACTCAAGAGAATAGCAAAAAGGTATAACTGATCTTTCTTTTCAGTTAAAATTTTTCCAAGGACAAAGAAAAGAGGCCTAAAAAGCAGCTCTTACAATAAATATTGTCTTCCTTTATTTTTTAAAAAGTTTCTTTGTAGATCTTGTTCTTTCCCAAGTGAATTTTAACACACAACCATTGCCCTTATACTCCAACAAAATAGTTTTGAATATAGATTAGTAAAAGCCACTCAGAAATTTAAAATCTAAACAGAAGAGGGTAATTGAAAAAAAATAAAATGTGAACTCATTTTGAATTTTTGTCCCTCTGGGGACCTGGACTAGATAGGTACTCCCTTATAATAAGTGGATCCTGTCATATGGGTGCCCTTTTACTCTATTAAAAATATTTTTGAATTCTAGATTGAAATAATAAATTAAAGCATTTCAATTTTATTCAACATTCGCTATCATGAAGAAAGAATTAAAATGCAACAGGTTGCTAAGCTTATTGGAATAGGCATAATAGCTTTACCCACTAAAGAGTCAATGGGGCTAAGATTTCTGCATAATGAATATCTTTAACAATTAAGCTGGTGAAAAAGAAATGAATTAAGTGTTATCATTTAATAATACATAAATGTCACAATGAGGTTTCTAGTTCCTATTTCTAACCATTGAAATCTGGGGAGTGGGGGAGGAGAGGCCCTTGAAGTGAATGAATTTAAAGTGGGTACTGTTCTGATGACTAGGGCAGTCAATATTCAAGTTTGTCTTTTTGTGTTACCAATTATCTTTATAATTTGTCTCATTGTTTTTATTTTAACACATGATCACAAATTACTACTTATTTTTCCTGAGTATATATTTATGGAGACTGACATCCTAGATTATTTAGAGGATTCAGCCATAAACAATTGGGTTAGTTTGGTGGAAATTATGAGGATAATTCTGCTACCTGTAAGAATTCTCAACCTAAGAAACAGGCGCTACATGATTCTATTTGCATATCTATTGCATCAAATAATTCTGGAGCCCAATTTGCTGACCTGTGGGTAAAAGGAGATCTTAGAAAAATTATTTAGAAAATTTTTGCTGGAATAAAGAAACTTTCTCCCCTATATGGTTTGAAAAGTTACTCTCTGTGTTCTTTAGATCTGGGACACCACAGTTCTGTTAAAGAAGATACACCCATCCAAAGGAAAAATTTTATTTTGAACATAGATGTAAAATAGACATGAAAGTTATCCAGAACCAATAAGACTGTGCAGTTTTCTCCCTCTCAAGGGGTATCTGTTTGTGACTTTACACCTTTCTCTACCACCATCCCCCTGCTTAAAATTAATTCCTTTTCTGATTAATTTTGACTTTAAACATGTTCCATTGAGTACATTTTTATCCTAAGTCTTCTTTGTGACCATTCGTCTGATATTTTTATATAATTAACTTATTCTTTCAGCTTTCAGGTTTAATTAGTTTAAATTTCCTAAGAGTAATGTTTTTGTTTATCTTTTATTTCAAAAACACCTGGCCTGGCTCTGGATTCATTGCCTCTGAGTCAAGCACTTTTTCTGGATTCTTCATTATTAACCAAGAGGATGCAGGGCAATATATAATAAAAAATACGGCCACCAAGAGAATTATGCATGAGAAAGTTAGAACTATTTATGGTAGGAATATGAGTAAACATATCTATCATAAGAAGAACACATGGACTTATCAGATACTATCAGTTAAGAAGTTAAATTGCTAACATTTTTATTTGAATGAAACAAATGACAATAGTGAAGGAAAACACAAAATAATTTTGAATGAACAGTTTCTGTTATAATAGGGCTTTTTAAAAACTAAAATCAACTTAAATGCTGTAAAAAATTGCATTAAAAATGGAATATTTTTACGTGTGAAATTTTGAGGTGTAAATGGAGTTAAGTCCATTTCCCTCCATTATTATAAAGTAACGTTAATTTTACTAACGTGTTTTCAATACTTTATAATCATGGATGCTAAGATTATTTTGGATGCAGATCAAATTAGGCACAAGCATTTAAATTTCTTTTTAAATTTCTCACATGATACTTAAGAAATACACAATCATGCAGTGCTTAACAATAGGAATGAAGTCCAAGAAATGTGTTCTTAGATATTTCATTTTTGTGTGAACATCATAGAGTTTACTTACACAAACCTTGATGGGATAGCCTACTACGCACCTAGGCTATGTGGTATAGTCTATTGTTCCTAGGACACAAACCTGTATATATAGGCTATACCAAACCTATATATGGGCTTTTTCTAAACATAGAAAAAGTATAATCTTATGGGACCACATATATATATATATATATATATATATATATATATATATATATATATATATGCTCTGTCATTGATTGAAAAGTCATTATGCTATGCACGTCTATAATCCATATGTACTTGTGACTTTTCTATAACAGAGCATATTGTCAAGGAAAACTATACTAATTCTAGAATGCCTTTCTTTCAACGTATCTTTTAATTGCAGATCACTCCAATATGAATTTCAATTTGCATTTTGTTCTCATAAAGTTACTCCTTTATTTCTTCTAGGATGCTCAATTTTGAAATAAGATGTACACCTGTTAAACTGATGCATTTCTACCCTTCATTTGCTTGTTCTATTTTAATTTTATATGATAGTTCTCCATTTGATGAGAACAAATAACAATTGCTTTTTCCTAAATCAAGTTGCATATGCATTCAATTTGTCAGGTCTGAATTTAGACATATCGTTTCACATACTGTCTTCTATTACTCTAATTACCATGCTGCACATATTTTTCCAAACTGGCATTTCAATATGCTTTACTTTTTTAAAAGCTGATATTCCTAAAATTACCATTTTCCTTCTCACTCTTTCCTTTCACCTTAACACTTTTCAGTAATGTTTTCTCAAAAAGGAACTTTCAAGCTCAAATAACTATAAAGGTAGGAAAGATGTTTTTAATTAATCATAAAGTGGTACTTAAAAGTTTGCATCTCTAAATGTGAACATATATAGAGAGAGAAAAAATGAATTTAGCAGCTAAAAAAAGTTAAGAAGTAAATTGTTCTTATCAAAACATCTTTTAAATTATTTTACACTGTAGTTTATTACAATTTAATTTAAAAATGTATGGTACTTCTGCAATATTAGTATGCCTTTTCTTGCCTCTAAGTTATTTTTTAATTATCTCTGGATATTTCAAGTAAAGTACAAATAAATTGGTGGATTATAAATAATATCTCAATATTTCATTTAATGATATCATTTTAAAATATAATAATTATTCATTCCCAAATTCACTGGATGAGAATAAAGTAGAATATTGGGGAGGGTAAAGTTAAGGAAGTAAAATAGACTACTTTCACAAATAAGATCTGTAATTTGAAATTTAAAAATTACTTTAATATATGAAAATTCTGACTTTAAAAATTGCTAACCTACTTCCAGTAAAGGTAGTTACCCACCATTGAAAGTCTTGCAGAATCCCTTTCAAATCTATAATTCAGCAATTATTTCCAAGAGCATGTTTCACAAAATGCATACAGAGTGCTTCCTGAAGTTGTATGTCATCCTTTGCAAGGACACTGATAATCTTCTGAGTCATTCCAATTTTAGCGTATGTGCCACCAAAGCAAGCATGATTTTAAGATCTTTTTTTTTTTTTTTGGTCATATTAGTCTCAATGATCATTAGACAAATTTTTAAATATTCAAAATGTTTCTTATAAATTGAAAATGTATAAGTATATATATTTATGGGGTATAATGTGATGCTATGATTTATAAATATGTGAAATAATTAAATTAAACTAATTAGCCTACCCATAATGTCAAATGCTTACTATTTTTGTGTTGAGAACATTTGAAATTTATTATTTTAGCTATTTTTAAATGGACAATACACTGTAATTAACTACATTCACCATGCTATGAAATTGATCTGAAGAAAAAAACCCTCATTCTTCCTTTCTAAGCTTTTGTACCCTTTGACCATCATCTCCTTATTTCTCCACCTCTAGCTTCTGTAATTTATACTTTACTCTCAGCTTTTATGAATTCAATTGTTTTAGATTCCACATTGTGGTATTTATTTTTCTGTACCTGGATTATTTCACTTAGCATAATGTTCTCCAATTCCATCCATGTTGCAAATGATAACATTTCCTTCTTTTTTTAAGGCTGAAGAGTATTCTATTATGTGTATATACCAGGTTTTCTTTACCTACTTATCTGTTAATGGACGCTGAGGTTGGCTATTGTGAATATTGCTGCAAAGAACACGGGAGCGCAGACATCTCTTCAACAAACTAATTTCAAATCTCTTATGTAAATATCCAGAAGTGGGATTGCTAAGTCACATGGTAGTTCTATTTTAAGTTTTTTGAGGAGCCTCTGTATAGTTTTCCATATGGCTGTACTAATTAATATTCTCATCCACAATATACAAGTGTACCTTGTTCTCTACATCCTCCAACACTAGTTAAGTTCCTCTTTTTGATAAGAACCATTTGGACAGGTGTGAGGTGATATTATGGTTTTAACTTGGATTTTCCTAATGATTATCTGTAATGATTAGTAATGTTGAGCATTTTTCATACATCTGTTGGCCATTTGTAAGTCTTTTAAAAAAAAAGTCTATTCAGGTCCCTTGCCCGTTTTTTAAATCAAGTTATTTGTTTTCTTGCTATTGAGTTGCTTGAGTTCCTTATATATTTTGGATATAAACCCTTTATCAGATGTGGGGCTTATAAATATTTTCTCTCAATCCACTGGTTGTCTCTGCACACTGTTAATTCATTCCTTTGCTGTGCAGAAGTTTTTAGTTTGATGTAATCCCATTTGTCTATTTTTGTTTTGTTGCCTGTGCTTTTGGGGTCAAATCCAAAAAAATCATTGCTCAGGCCAATGTCATATAGTTTTGCTAAACTGTCATGTGTGTTTTCTTCTAGTAGTTTTACAGTTTCTGCTCTTACATGTAAGTCCTTATTAAATTTTGAGCAGATTTTTGTGCATAGTGTGAGATAAGGGTCCAATTTCATTTTTCTAAATGTAGATATCCAATTATCCCAGCAACACTTTTTGAAGAGACTGTCCTGTTCTTATTGTATGTTGTTGGCTGCTTTGTCAAAAATCATTTCTGGGCTCTCTATTCTGCTGGTTTATGTGTCATTTTTATTACAGTACCATGCAGTTTTAATTACATTAGTTTTGTAGTACACAGACATACCTTGGATATATTGCAGGTTTGGATCCAGATCACAGCATCAAAGCAAATATCACAGTAGGAAAGGCAAATGAATTTCTTGGTTTCTGAGTGCCTATAAAAGTTATATTTAAACTATAATCTCTTAAGCATGCAACAGCATTATGTCTTTAAAAAAGTACAATACAAAAAATACTTTATTGCTAAAAAATGCAGACACAGAGACTTGAAATGAGCACATGTTGTTGGAAAAATGGTGTTGATAGACTTGATCAATGCAATGTTGCCACAAACCTTCAATCTGTAAAAAATGCAATATCTGCAAAGTGCAATAAAGTGAAGTATAAAAAACAAACAAACAAGTTATGTCTGTAGCTTGAAATCAGATAGTGTGACATCTTTAGCTTTGTTCTTTTTGTTCACGACTACCTTGGCTATTCATGGATTTTGTGGTTCTATACATATTTTAGGATTCCTTTTTCTATTTATATGAAGAAAAATGAAATTTAGGGATTGCATTGACACTATGCTCTATGGACTGCTTTGAGTAGTATGGACATTTTCACAATATTACTTCTCCCGGTACATGAACACAGGTTATTTTTTCTTTTATTTATGCTCTTTTCAGTTTATTCTATTAGTTTTTATAGGTTTAAGTTTACTTGTTTTTTACCTTCTTGGTTAAATCTATTCCTAAATATTTAGTTTTTTGAAATTATTACATGTGGAATTTTTTTGAATTGTTCATTATTAGAGTATAGAAACACGACTGATTTCGGAGTGTCAATTTGTATCTTGTAACTTCATTGCATTCATTTATTAGTTCTAACAGGGTTTTTTGGTAAAGTCTAGGATTTTCTATATATATGACGATGTTGACAGTAAACAGCAACACTTTCACTTCTTTTTTTTTCCTAGTTGAATGCTTTTTATTTATTTCTCTTGCTAATTACTCTGGCAAGAACTTTCACTACTACATTGAAGAGAAGCAATAGGTGTCCTTTTTGAATTAAGAAAAGGAAAATAAGTACCTGTTTCTTAATTCAGAACTTAGAGAAAAGGCTTTTAATTTTTCACCATTCAGTATAATATTAGCTGTGGGCTTTTCATATATGGTATTTATTGTGTTGAAGCATATTCCTTTTCTAGCTAATTTGATGAGAGTTTTTATTATAAAAGGATGTTGAATTTTATCAAATGCTTTTTCTGTATCTAATGAAATTATCATATGGCTTTTGTTCTTCATTCTGTTAATATGATGTATCATATTTATTGATTTTTGTATGTTGAATGATTTTTGCATCCCAGGGATAAATCAAACTTGATTATGGTGCATAAATCCTTTTAAAATGTTGTTGGATTTGCTTTGTTAGTACTTTGTTGAGGATCATCGAGGCTATTGGCCTGTAATTTTCTTTTCTTGTGGTGTCCTTGTCTGGCTTTGATATCCAAGTAATGTTGGCTTCCTAAAAATTGTGTAGAATTATTCCCTCCTCTTCTATTTTTTGGAATAGTTTGAGGAGAATTGGTATTAGTGCTTCCTTAAATGTTTGGTAGAATTCAGCAGTGAAACCATATGGTCCTGGGCTTTTCTTTAATTGGAAACTATTTATTACTGATTGAATTTCCCCATTCATTATTGGTCTGTTCAAATGTTCTCTTTCTTCATGCTTCAGTCTTGGTAGGTTGTCCCTGTTTAGGAATTCATCCATTTCTTCTAGGTTATCTAATTTACTGACATGTAGTTATTCATAGTAATATTTTATTACCCTTTGTATTTCTATAGTATCAATTGTAAGGTCTACTCTTTCATTTTTAATTTTCTTTTCTTCTCCCTTTTTTCCCTAATCTAGCCAATGGTTTGTCAACTTTATCTTTTGAAAAATTCAATTCCGTTTCATTGATCTTTTCACCTTTTTTTGGTCTCTATTTTACTTATTTATGATCTGATCTTTGTAACTTCCTTCTGCTAACTTTGGGCTTAGTTTGTTCTTTTTCTAGTTCCTCAAGGAGTAACTGTAAGTTGCTTGAGATTTTTATTCCCTTTTGATGTAGGTATTAACTGCTAAAAACTTCCCTCTCAGACCCACTTTTGCTGTGTCCCATAAGTTTGGGTATAATGTGTTTTTATTTTCATTTGTCTTAAAATATATGTAAATTTCCCTTTTGACTTCTTCATTGACCCATTTGTTGTTCAAGAGTATATTGTCTGATTTCCATGTATTTGTGAATTTTCCAAAATTCCTTCTGTTATTGATTTCCAGTTTTCTACCATTGTGGTCAGAAAAAATACTTTACACAATTTCAGCCTTTTAAAATTTGTTAATAGTTGTTTTGTGCTCTAACATATAATCTGTCCTGGAGAATGTTTCATGTATGTTGGAGAAGACTGTGTATTCTGTTGCTGTTGAATAAAATGTTCTGTATATGTCCATTATCACTTGATGAAAAGTGTTCAAGTCCAGTGTTTTCTTATTAGTTTTCTGTCTTGATGATCTATCCATTATTAAAAGTGGAGTATTAAAGTTCCCTGCTACGATTATATTGCAATCTATTTCTCCTTCAGATCCTTTAATATTTATTTCATATATTTAGCTGCCCCCAATGTTGAGTGCACATATATTTACTGCTTTATCATTATATAGTGTTCTTGTCTTTTTTTTTTTTTTTTTTTTTTTTTGAGACCGAGTCTCACTCTGTTGTCCAGGCGCTGGAGTGCAGTGGCATGATCTCATCTCTCTGCAAACTCTGCCTCCCGGGTTCATGCCATTCTCCTGTCTCAGCCTCCTGAGTAGCTGGGACTAGAGGCACCTGCCACCACGCCCGGCTAACTTTTTGTATTTTTAGTAGAGATGGGGTTTCACCGTGTTAGCCATGATGGTCTCGATCTCCTGACCTCGTGATCCCCCTTGCCTCAGCCTCCCAAAGTGCTGGGATTACAGGTATGAGCCACCGCGCCCAGCCTATAGTGTTCTTGTCTCTTTTTACAATTTTTGACTTAATGACTATTTTGTCTGATGTAAGTATAGCTACTTCTGCCCTCTTTTGGTTTACATTTGCATGGAGCATCTTTTCCATCCCTTCACTTTCAGTCTCTGTGTGTCCTTAAAAGTGAGATGAGTTTCTTGTAGGCAGCATATAGCTGAGTCTTATTGTTCATTTATTACATCTCTTCATTAGATAATTTTATAATGGGATATTATATATATGGTTTCATAGACAATAATACTATCATTTATATAAATATTGACATGATAATTATTTATATTGATATTTATATGAGAAATATTTGTTATTTAAGCCATCCAATCTACAGAATTTTGTTATGGCAGCCACAATTGATGAAGAAAGTTTTTGATACTGACAAATAGGTTGCTGCTATAACCGATACTAAAAAATGTGGAAGCAGCTTTAAAGGTGATTCTGGTCAGGACTCACAAAGAAAAAAAGCAGGGCTATAGAGAATGATTCCATCTTCTTAAATAATACATAAATAGTTATGTATAGTCTGTTGGAAGAAATGTAGGCACTAAAGGGTATTCTGATGAAGCCTCATGTAGAAATGGGAAACATTTTATTAGACAATAGAGAAAAGGCAATTTTTATTATAAATAAAGGAAGGCTGTCAAACTACTTAGATCCTACAGGACAGGGCTATAAAGCCATTTATCTGTAAACTTGTGATATTCTTCAAGAAAAGGGAAGAATGGCTCTCATGATGATTCATGAATTATCAAGGCCACCATCTCAGTTGCAATGTGCTGGACAGCCTCCAATCAGAACCATGGGAATGGAGCCATGTGGAGTTGACTGTGTATGTCTCCTGCCTGGCACATAATTATTATTTATATTAATATTGGTATTCTATACCAATATTATATTTTCCTGACTACAGTGCTCACAATCTGTTTTCTTCACATTTTTATATAGACCATTATATTAGTCTGTTCTCACACTGCTAATAAAGACATATGCAGCACAGGGTAATTTATGAAGAAAAGAGGTTTAACAGATGCACAGTTCCACATGGCTGGGGAGGCCTCACAATCATGGTGGAAGGCAAAGGAGAAGCAAAGGCACATCTTACATGGCAGCAGACAAGAGAGCTTGTGCAGGGAACTCCCATTTTTAAAACCATCACATCTCATGAGACTTATACATTACCACCAGACCAGTATGGGGGAAACTGCCCCCATGATTCAATTATCTCCACCTGACCTCACACTTGACATGTGGGGATTATTACAATTCAAGGTGAGATTTGGGTGGGGACACAGCCAAACCATACCAACCATTGACTACAGAATAAATAATTAAGGCTCACCTTATAAATATTAACTATTATAAAGCACTTTATATTATTATCAGTAGAGACAGGCAATCTAGTTGAACAAAAATTTGGCACAATGAAACCATCTTCTTTTCAGTCCTATCCTTAGCATTAATTACCTATGTGATCTTCAGTTGGGCTCTGTGATCTCTGCCTTGGGTTTTTCATGAGGATAATGATACTTAATCTATATGCTTCCTAGGAGTGTTGTGAACAAAATAACCCTGGTAGCGTAATTTGGAAATGTGGCAAATGATAAAATGTAACATACATTATTGCTGGCATAATTTTAATAGTTAAATAAATTTGATTATTTGAATAATAATAGACAAACTTAAATATAGCTGCCTCTCTGCTGGATATGCAATTAAATTTGTTGTGAGCATCTGAGAGTGTTTTTGTCCTTTTGGTACTTTGAAATTTATTTCATATCTTAAAAATATTTACAGCAGAAACTATTTTAAAAATTATTATTCATTATTTAAGAATTTAAGTTCTGAAGGTAATGTTTTAACTTTAACCTCAGAAAAATCTATTTATAATTGTTTGTCTCGACCTGCTAATGTCATTTAAGGTGCAAAGAATGAGCTGTGAGTTTGATTTTACATTAATCATGAGAACATTACCTTGACATTTAAAGAGAAAGAAAACATTTTATGGGATTTCAGAAGAGCACTTAAAATATTGAAATGTCTCCTTGATAAAAAACAAAATGTTCTTCTTTTGTCTTTTGAAAATGCCCACATTCCTCTCCATAGAGACATATGTCAACATATCCTACACAGATTGGGTTAAAGTAGCCCATAATTCTGCAGATTATCATTGGATTTTGCTGTGACCTCAAGCCATTATTTATCTTGAGAGATAGACAAGTAGGAAGTAATTTTCAAAATGGTCTGCTTTGAGAATGAGGAAATTAAGCTGCTTTAATTTATATTTAAATTTAAATTTATATTTAAAAATATAGATGAATCAACCTTTTTAAAGTGGAGTTAATTTACTTTAATGAGATTATAAATTTTGAGGGTGATTGACAGATATATTTATCATCCTCACACAGTGGTTCCTACGGTGTGAGCCATAGAGGAGTTCAAGTGGGAGTTAGATATTGCGATGAAGGCAGGTATCAGAAACGGTCTGAAAAGCCATATGCATGACTATATACTGAAGAGTTCATTTTTCAAGTTTGTGCTGATATGTATGTATATATGTCACTTTAAATATACATGAATTTGTATTCTATAAAATACGTATGAAATATAAATTCATTTGTCATTTGTCATTATCAGTTTTCTTAATCTGTGGCTACTAAAATCACTAACAGCAGCTGAAGGCCTGCTTTTTTTTAAGTTTAATGACTGTCAAAAACTAATGCTGATCTTAACAACTGAGAGGATACAATACTTGAGAAAGGAGTTGTCAATATCAATTTGTAAACAAAGATGAAATTATCATTCTTGAAACACATTAGGAAGATTATTCCCTTCAGTCTCCAAATTTTATATAGTTAGTTTTAAAAGGAATAATCATTGACATATTCACTATGTTCACAGATACATAAAAATGTAAAAGTAAATACATCTATACACAAATGGGAAAATATTTTAAAATATTTAAAATATCAATATCAATAATGTTTTGGATGGTAAATTGTGTTCTTTTTCAGTTTTCTTTTAAAGTTTCCAATGATTTATATTAAAAAAAGTTGCTGTTATAACTAAAAAGAAAAATTTTAAGTAAGCCAAAGCACTCTACACGGCAAAAGCTGAATCTTTCTTTTCCCCATTTTGATTATTTTATCTTTCTTTAGATAGTTGTAAGGACTTATACTAACACAATCCAAGCTAAGACTAGAAAATATTCAAATATTTATTTATTGAAGAATGTTTATTGAGAAACAAGTATCTGAAGCTATGGAGTATTTGGGGTTAATTCAAGAATGCAATAATTGTGGTTCATTTACTTGCAGAATTTAAAGCCTAAAAGGATTATGGAAATTACAATTGCAACAAACAATACAATCAGAAAGATAAAATCTAAAACTAAAGGAAAATAATGAGCTATAATAAATATGACAGATATTTCATACTCTCCATGTATAAAGAGTTCATAAACATTGATAACAAAATCACAGAAATTTCAGTCTAAAAATGGCCAGATTCAGGAATAGACAAAAATGTAAGTAATGAATGTGAAAAAAGATGCCAATATTTAACTTTATTTTATGCGACTACAATGAAGCACAAATCTCTCTGTGTGTGTGTCTTTCTCATCTTCTTTCTCCCTCTGTCTTTTTCTTGCCCTCTTTTTCTCTCATTGGTCAAGATAAGGTTGACAAGGCTGTGCTGGTTCCCTCACACGAGCTTTCCAGAATGCAATTTTATAATTTTTAAAATATATTAAAATGTTCACTATAATATAAGAAAATAATTTTTCTAATGACCAAGTAAAAGTAGTCAGAAATTCAAACCAATATATTCAAGCCATTAATAATCATTTACACATATATAACACAGGTAATATTATTTTTAAAATTAGTATACTCTTTTCCTGTACAGTTTCATATACTAATCTTCTCCATGTTTTCCTGAGGCATTTATCTGTAGGGATGAGGAGGGTACAGGGGAGGAGGCTTTGAAGGACAGGGCATAAGGATTGTTAGAGCAGAGTTTATTATTTAACTTCTGGTATCCAAAACAGAATTTTTGAAGGTGCAGCAGAAAAATCTTTGCATGCCAGGCTTTGTGAAGGAAAATATAGTTTTCTAAATTCCTTAGGACATATCAAAAGTCAAGCCTCATGGGAACAAAGGGACATTTTGCTACAGACCAGAGAAGAGCTCTCTTCTGCCCATGACTTAGCCATGAGGCAACAGGAGACAAATGACAAGGTCCAGAAGTGATGCTGGTCACACCTTGTGACCCCATACAGACCTTGAGAAACCCAGAATCTCCCCTGTGCCCTGTGAGGTCACACAGAATTACCAGTAGCTGAAGTCTAGAAGGAGGGAGAAGACACAAATGTCTGGTATGTGGTTTCCAACGACATGTACCAGAGATTTACCCCAAACTGCCAAGAGACCCTGTCATTCTTTAGTAATCAAGAATCACATCCTAGACCAATTCTGTTATTTCACTAAAGAAACTAGGGGGTACCCAAAAGATACCATGCAGATTTGAAGAATTATTTCTCAATTCAGTGAAAAACAGTAAGCCCTGATTACAAATTCTTAGGCCATTGGAAGGCCTTGAAATTGACACTCATCCGTAACATTTATATTTGTTTCCAGGGAGTGATACCACGATAAACGATATTTTCTATCATTATTTTAGGCCACTCCTATTATTGATTTGGGGATAATTCTTGATTGTACTTAGACCTTTTAGGGATTAGATCTTCATCTAGAGAATTATCGTTTTATTTAAGGCAATATTGTGCAGGTTTCCTTTTTACCTTTTTTTCCTTTTGTAAGCTGTACCAACCAATATTTTGTTTCACAGTAAAATGCAGGCAACCTCACCATGCTCTTTATTTTATGTCATTGTTAACATTCAAGTATGAGATACTTGAATACTTACTTTAGATGCATTTTTTTCCTGTAACAGCAAGACATGATTCAGACACTTTACATTGTCCTCTCCAACAAAGATGTTAGTAATACTTAATTTGGAATTTAAATACCAGGATTTTAGTGTATGATGCTACAAGACTCTTCAATCATGAGTGTGTATATTGCTGTTAGATAATAATGTTCAAATCTGCATTTGATTTCACAATTATATTACTCAAGCAAAACATATGCTTCCACATAAGTGTATTGTATCCTAAAAACACATGAACTCATTCAAGTTCGCCCAAAATTGCAGTATCATAATAAATTGACCAAAGTGTTAAAATTTCATAAAGGAATAATGATGAAAAGTCCATTTTAACTTCTGATATGCCAACACTACTTTAGAGAGTATTTCTTATGCTAGTAACTACTATACTTATCATCATGGTGCACAGTCTCTCTATTTTTATAAAAATCTTTGTTATCTGTTAATGTCTTCATTATTTGATAATATTTATATATAAAGAAACAAACACTGGCAAAATATAAAATTTGATACCACTAATTATTATTAGGGTTACTGGATGTAAGTTTTCTTCTATTCACAAGGTAAACCAAAGATATGCCTTTAAATGATGAATTTGCCCCATTTCAGGAAAGAGGTAGACAGTAGAGTCTTTCCTAGCATAGATTAATATCTGATGATTACAGAGCCCTTAGCCTTCTGCCTTGAGGGATGGACCTCATCTCTTCAAATTCACGTTCTGATTAAAAGGAAGATAAATGAAAACTATGTTCTTTTTTCTTTCCTGCCCATTTCTAAACAGACATACACATCTAAATTCCATTTACTTATCTTATGTAAGTTCTCAGACCCACCATGCCCACAACATATTGCCATCTTTCTTTCAGTCTGTGCAGTAGCTCAGACCCAGTGTAAAGAATGCACGAGATGGTTCTGTTTCAAAATTAATTAGAAAAGATGAGAGTCAAAAACTTTCATTGAAGAATAAGCCAGAAAGAACTTGGATAAGAGAGCAGTCTCAGGGGGTCCTAATTAGGAAAGTTGGGATGGGTAAGAAATAGCTTGCTCTGTTTTTACATATGAAAAAGTTCTGGATTAGGAAGAGCCTAGGGACTTTGAATCAGAATACACAGGGTTTTATTCCAGTGCTGACACTGAGAGGTGTGTCATCTCTGGCATGACTTGTAACCTCTCCTTAATAGAGATATCTGACTCACAAGTTTTCAGGATTCCCTCAGACGATCAGCATAATAGGATTTTTTGAAATAGGATGTAGTACATTAGTGTAAGTTGTCATTAAGTTAGAAAAGTTATGGCTCAATATTCATAGTGGATGGCTTATTTGCTTAGGTAATACTTTGGAGATAACTTGAAATTGCCTATTATTACATTTTATTTTTGATAAATATATTCCTGTATGTGTTCCTCTCCTCTGAGTTCATAGGAAATGATTGATTGTACAAGTCAATTCACTTAACATTGTTGACTGCTTACTGTTGACTGCTTACTGTGTGTCAGGCATTTCGCTAAAAAAAAAAAGAATAAATAATTTTTCTATGTAATATAATAATTCTAATTTTTTTCTCTATTTTATACATATGAAACTGTGGCTTGGAGGAGTGAATCTCAGGGTACTATTTTTATATATTAAAGTGGTGTGTTTCCCCTCATATATTTCTTGTTGCTCAGTAACTTTTTCCCTATTCATCCACAGTTAGTATATTTTATGCCCAATGCCTCAGGGATTTAAGATACCATAGAATTTTGTAATTTCTGATAAAAAAAATTTCCATTTGTTTCTCAAACTGTAGTCTAACGATAAACTGTACTAAATATTATGTTGAACTCTTACAACATAAGAAAGTTTTACAAATATCTTACATTATTTTATTTAATCCTCTGAAAAACACTGGGAGCTGTATGTTGTAATTACACATATTCTATAGATACCTTCCCTGTGACATTTTATAAAAATCTTACAAAGACCTGAAATCCGTATCTCTCTCAGGTCACTTGGATATTAAGAAATAGAGTAAGGTTTCAAACCTTTCTAACCAGCCTCACACCAAATGACATTGGAGACTAGAGGGAGTCTTCTCCTCTATAATCAAGGCTTTTAAATGAACCCAATTAAGGGTTAAAGATGAAAAAACTCAGCATACTTGGAGATCCAGTGGTGAACCTGTGCACTTGTAATGTGGTTAGACCCTGGAGAAATTGCAAGAGCCCAGAGTTCCCTAAGCATGCTATCAAGTGGAGTAGAAAAAAATGTTAATTTGGTACTTCTAGGCAGATGGCCACAATTTAACTTGTTGACATCATCCATTTGCTCCAGCATTTCAAGTAAAAAATAGTATGATTTTTTGCTGATCCAAAGGAAAATGTAGAGCTGGTGTAACATGCCACAATTCTGCTAAGTTTCCGAGCTCCGGGAGAGAACAGGATCTGCCAAAACTTCACAGTACCTCTAAGGTGGGGAGATGCAAAGGTGGGAATGGCAGAACAAATAAGAGGTGTGGGAGGGGCAGAACAAATCTGAGATTCCCGCAGCAGTGATCTGAATGTACGGAAATCAGAAGAGACAATAGAACAACTCCGAAGACAGAGTTTCTTTTTGTTGTTTTGTTTTGTTTGTTTTGAGACAGGGTCTCACTCTGTAGCCCCTACTGGAGTGCAGTGGCGCGATCTCAGCTCACTGCAACCTCCGCCTCCCAGGCTCAAGTGATTCTCCTGCCTCAGCCTCCCTAGTAGCTGGAGTTACAAGCACAAGCCACCACACCTGGCTAATTTTTGTATTTTTAGTAGAAATGGGGTTTCACCACATTGGCCAGGCTGATCTTGAACTCCTGACCTCAAATGATCCACCCGCATCAGCTTCCCACAGTGCTGAGATTATAGGCATCAGCCACCATGCCTGGCCAGACAGGGTTTTCATGATGCTGTTGAAGCTTAGTTTCAGGGCTCCTAACTTGTCTAAATTCCTCCAAGGACATGAGATGTGTTGAAATTAGCCCATTATTTTCCAATATCCTATAACTGAAGAATATGTGGTAAAAGTAAAATGCACGTGTTTAAAGTGCCCATCAAGTTCAGTGAATCTTGGCAAATGTGTATCTTCCTATAATTACCAATCCAGTCCTATGAAGCTATAGATCATGCCCATCACCCCAGGTAGTTCTATAGTGACCTCATCTAGTACATCCTACAGTCAGAGGCAGATACCTTTCCTATTGGTTCTTGCTTTTTCTAGATTGTTTTGACTATCCTACATGTATGCATTTCCATATAAATTTTAGTATCACCTTGATAATTTCTTCAAAAAGACTTTCACCTGGCAGGAATGAAACTCTACATTTTGTCTCCTTAGTAGTCAGTGCCTGCCGATATTTCTACTCTGCTGTCAGGCTTCAAGCTCTTGCTTCTTCCGAGAAGCTTGAAAGCCTAGCTCCATGTATGGACAGTTCAAAAAACAGCCAAGAGTCCGAGAAGAGTTTGTGTGCAGATTTTTGACTCCCTTATTTGTAACTCCCTCTTCTCTAATTTTTTTTTTTCTCAATTTCTAGTTGCTGTTGACCTTGAACTCTGGCCTCCGGCTTCTTATTCCATTATGACTCCACGATTTGCTTGAGCACTATTTTATGGGCACTGTCTGGAAGGAAAAAAGCTGGGTAGATCTAGGTTTCATACAATCTAACTATCTTTCTTTCTTCTTTCTTTCTTTCTTTCCTTGTTTCCTTCTTTCTTTCTCTCTTTCTTTCTCTTTCTTTCTTTCTTTCTTTCTTTCTTTTTCTTTCTTTCTCTCTTTCTCTCTCTCCCTCCCTCCCTCCTTCTTTTCTTTTTCTTCTTTCTTTCTTTCCTGTTTCATTCTTTTTTTTTCTTGGAGAGAAAAAGGATCTCACTATGTTGCCCCGACTGGCCTCAAACTTCTGGCCTCAAGCAATCTTCCCCCACCTCAGCCTCCTAAGGAGGCTGGTCCACCACTTCACCCAGTCCTTTTCTTCTTTCAAGCATCATATACCTTTTGGTTTCTGCCTGGTTTGGGTCACCCTCCTGTGTCTTCAAACAGTTACTTTAAAAAAAATAATTTGTCTGGAAAGCATAATTGTCTTTGGAAGAAGCTTTAATTTTCTATATGATATCCTAATATTTCCAGAAGCTAGACCTGTCATCTACTTTTTACAAATTCACGAAATATTTTATTTGCAATCTGTTAAGAACACTGCCTTTTCCACACTGACTTCCTCTCTACCACCTCTCCACTTGAGTAGGGTGGTATTAGAGTGGTTGCAGGCATTTTAGGGACCTGGCAAAGAGAGTGAAATTGGCAATACATATAGTTGGAATTCACTGGCATATATTTAGGTGATTCTTAAGTATACTGTATTCTTGCTAGCCTCCTGTGAGTGAAGGACTTTCAGGAATAATTTTACTACCCACTTCACTTTCTTAGCTGGTATAATAACCTGAGTGTATGTTGCCAGAGATTACCTAGCAATGGAAGTATATGGGTAGTGGAAATAAGATTTGAAATGTGCAGAATCATAAGATATTCCATGAGATATCATCTCTACCAGAAGATTTTCTCTTCCAGTTGTACTTGATGGTGCAGTATATATACTTATTAATGTCATACATAAAGTTAGATCTATAAGAATCATACATATAGAATTTACCAGAACCCCTTCATTTGTAGGTGACAAACCTTTAGAACTATAATGAACGGTGAATTTTTCTTCATGTGAAATCATATTTTGTGATCACAATTATCAATAAAAAATATCAAAATTCAAGAGGGAAACACAAGTTACCTATTTCCTCCGCAGTAATTATATTTTAAAAATACTTGTTTTAAAAAGATAATGGGTTCCATTAAAACTGAGTCAAAATTGTAAACAACAAGAAGTTTAACAGAGTGAGTTGTTATTTCTCTGGAAGTTATGCTATTCAAGCTGATGTTGATCAGCTTTTTGACAGTTGTAAAATGTAATAATATATTTCTGCATTCTAAATATATATTTTCCTTTAGATCTAATTTTATGTTCATAATTCTGTCTTATTTTAATTAAACCCTCCACTGAATGTATAATAATCAGTAGTTACAAAACCTGGATTCACTCCTGGATGACATAAATTTCAGTCTGTCTGCGTATGCAGTTGATATGATATGACAGCTGAAGATCTTCTCTCCCCCAAGCCTCTTACCTTGATTCCACATAGATCTTCAGTGCTCAGAAATAATGATAAAAAACCTGCACTGGCAGGCACAGTGACTCATACCTGTAATCCCAGCACATTGGGAGGCAAAGGCAGGAGAATTGATTGCTTGAGGCCAGGAGTACGAGACCAGCCTGGACAACATAGAGCAACCCATCTCTACAAAAGAAAAAAAAAATTAGCTGGGCATAGTCGCATGTGTCTGTAGTCCCAGCAGCTAGGGAGGCGGAGATGGGAGGATCCTTTGAACCCAGGAGTTCCAGACTACAGTGAGCTATGATCAGACCACTACCCTGCAGTGTGGGTGACAGAGCAAGACTCTGTCTCAAGAAAAAAACAAACAAAAAACCCTGCATTAACAGAGTTTGGTTTTTAACATCCCATGGAATATTTATCATAAAAGAAATTAAATTTAATCATGAAAAAGTAAACTTATACTTGCTTTTGGGCCTGAGATAAGTACTCATTACGGAGGCTTAACGTCCACAAAACTAGTCAATAGTGGAGCCGAGTTTCACATTTAAGTCTTTGAGTTTCACAGAGTCTTTAATATGGGAATAATGAAAATATAGATGTTGTGCCAACTACATTTGCCAGCTATGTGTATTCCTAAAGTCCTTTTGAATATAAGAATATATACATGTGAGAATTCATAGTCTTGTGAGAGAAAATACTTTTGAGAAATGAAATTATAGCCTTTATTTTTTGTTTTATATAGCAAATATTTATATGATATACAAGCGACCTTTATGAGTTTTTTAGAAATGTTAGTAATATAATTTTTGTAACAATTTGATGAG
This sequence comes from Homo sapiens, assembly GCF_000001405.40. Taxonomy (NCBI): domain Eukaryota; kingdom Metazoa; phylum Chordata; class Mammalia; order Primates; family Hominidae; genus Homo; species Homo sapiens. Next base: position 90,797,355 of record NC_000013.11, read on the forward strand.
AAAGGTATTGTTGTTTTATTTGCTTTTGCAGTGTCAGGAACTATGAAGCATTGGAGATTTTATCTTGCTTTCTAGTTAGCCTGCCCAGTTTCATAGATGCTGACAGAAAACACAAACGTGAAGGGTCAGAGACAGAAAACTTCATTACTAATGGTGCGGCAGCTGCAAGAACTTCATGTTCACCTCAGTTTCACTTGCTCTCCCCAACCCAAGTCCCATGAGGGAGATGGTTAGGCAGGGGCCAGGCAAACACTGTACACAGTAGGTTTGGATCAAAAATAAGTAGCACCAAGCTCCATAAAACCTGTCTTACTAGGTTGGTGCAAAAGTTATTGCAGTTTTTGCCATCAAAAGTAATGGCAAAAACCACAATGACTTTTGTGACTGCAATCAAACCTGCCCAAAGGTTTGGGAGGGAGGGAGTCATTAATCTATGTTGTTCTAATCAGGAAACAAATCTGCCTTATGACCCACAGGGAGACCCTGTCACTATTTTGCAAGACTGTTTGCTTTCTAAATATCCTTGAAAAGTTGCCAAGACAAAATCTGTCACCAGACATGTGGGGGTGCCATGAGGAATTGTCCCTTAATATACAGATGAGGAAACAGAAGTTAAGTAAGTTTTCCATGATGCGATGCCTCCATTAGCATCGCATAGAATTGGGATTACAAACCTGGAAAGGCAGGCTCCAGAGCCCATGTTCTTAAGCACTACTCCTCCTTTGTAGTACCTCTCCAAGTGTGAGCAGGTGCATCACTGAAGGCTGAACTGATTCATAAACTTGACTTTCTATTAGGTGTCAGGTACTAAAGGGCTTTTCTGGGGAGGGGGTTGGAGTAAAAGTTTCCCAAGGGAGATATTCTAAGCCTCCTCGTAAATCAGTAGGCGTCTGTCGCCTAAACACATCTAGGAGATTTTCTCTTTTATTCCTCAAAATCCTAACAGATAGGGCTGCATCAGACTTACCTTCTTCTCTACCTAGGAGCATAGTCTTCACAAAACTATTTTTCACACAAATAGTGTTGATTCTGCAAATAACACAAAGCAACAGACTCATAAAATCTTGTACTAAAAGGGG